>NC_000003.12:91364151-91438798 GCF_000001405.40 Homo sapiens
TCAGGAGGCTGAGGCAGGAGAATCGCTTGAACCCAGGAGATAGAGGTTGCAATGAGCCAAGATCATACCATTGCACTCCAGCCTGGGCAAAAAGAGTGAAACTCCATCTCAGAAAAAAAATAAAACAAAACAAAACAAAAAAATTTTAAAAAGAAAGGAAGGAAGTTGGGAACCCTGCATGGGGTTGCTGAGCCTCAGGACTTGTTCTTGGCCCTGAGCAGTCCCTAGGGAAGGAGCGAGTGAAGTAGATATGGAGTGGCCCACTCTCACCATCAACCTCCAGAATCCTAAGCTGCAGGAGACCCCACACCCCCATGGACATCTGAGCTGGCAGAGAGAACTACCCAGAGAGTTGAAACAGACAGCACTCCAGCCTGTGCAGAGCCCAGATTTGGCATGGGAACAGCTGCAATGGAGCACAGCCATAGGTGTCAATCCACCAAGGATGGCCATACTCCTGAAGGTGACTTTAGCCTTTGTTAACTCTCAGACCTGGACAGAGCAGGGCACCTGTGGTGCTAAAAGTTAGAATAGGTGATTACCTTTGAAGAGAAAGGGGCTAGTGACTAGAAGCTGGTATGAGGGGGGCCTTCGGGAGTGCTGTTGAGATTCAGTTTCTTAATCTGCGTTGTTATACGGTGAGTTCAATTTGTAAAAGTTTGTGCAATAATGTTTCCTGCACTTTTCTGTATATATTTTATCTTCAATTAAAAAGTATATGAAAAAAGGAAGCACATCAAAGCATGACACTTACATAGTAGGACAGATGTAAATTGGGGTAAAATTATCAGAAAAACAATTTAAATGGTATAAAAGCTATAACAGTTAAAATACAATACATTATTAGTAAAACAAACAAAGGAATCAACAAAAAGACCACTAGGAGGTAGAGATGTTCTTAACAGAGTTCTGAGAGTTAGAAGTGCCACCTCAGTGTTGACCCCCTGTAATATAATTGAAGGGTGTAGAACCAGAGCAATAGAGTAGAACCTTTATCCTTCTACATTCCCACTACCATCCTGTCCTCCTCGTATGCCTAGGAGTCTATTTTCCCCAAGGTATCTGAAACCACAGTGGGGAGAAATTTACAAAGCAAATAGCCACAGAGCTTCAAGGCAGCAAAAGCAGCAGTTTGGTCAAAGCAAATTTTCTAAGCCATCATTATCTCCATATGTTCATGAACCTGAATTATGCTTGATTTGAGCTTCGAATTGAAAAATGCCTTGAGATTGTTTAATCAGAATTCTAGGAATGTGGAAAATTTAAAAATCATTAGATCATAATGGGAAAATTTTTGCCTATGAAAATTTTTACCAAATATAAAAGAAAGGAAATGACAGACAATATGACTGAATAAAGAGGCAAATTGTAAAAATAAGTCTAAGTGGCTAGAAATTCAAAAAATGTATCTTGTTTTCTAGTTTAAAAATTAAAAAATGACATTTGTACATACTTAATTGAAGTAACATATAACATTACAAAGAACTTCAAGACTTTGTTTCCTAATATGGGTGCAAGAAGCATCACAAGAGAAGATGGAATATAAAAATAATCTTTGGCTGAGTAAGAATTTTCTGTCATTTTTGCATTTAAAGCAAAAGAAGGAAGGGACAAGTAAAATGAATACCTATATAATTTAATATCAAGGTTCAAATAAGAAAGATACTGATTGATTTTTGATGCTTACAATTTTACAATTTTAACTTTTCATTTTACTATCGAAAACAAACAGCTTCTGAGCAACTTTTGAAATTACTATATTACCATTTGAGATTGCAAGAGGAATTTTTTTTTTCAGTCTTCAAAAACAAGTCCTCAGTTTAGAGAAGGAAATTGAGGGTAGTCCATTCCCTTATGTGTTTTCTTTTGAGACACACCCTGCATTATATTTAGCCTCTCCAAAAAGCTTTGAATGTGAACAACTGTAGGGTGAGGACTTGTCCCGGAAACTCTTTTTTTTTCTTTTTTTTAAATATTTATTATACTTTAAGTTCTAGGGTACATGTGCAAAACATGTAGGTTTGATACATAGGTATACGTGTGTCAAGCTGGTTTGCTGCACCCATCAACTTGTCATTTACATTAGGTATTTCTCCTAATGTTATCCCTCCCCCAGCCCCCCACCCCCCAACAGGCCCCAGTGTCTGACGTTCCCTTCCCTGTGTCCAAGTGTTCTCATCATTCAATTTCCACCTATGAGTGAGAACATGCGGTGTTTCATTTTCTGTCCTTGTAATATTTTGCTGAGAATGATGGTTTCCAGCTTCATCCATGTCCCTGCAAAGGACATGAACTCATCCTTTTTATGGCTACATAGTATTCCATGGTGTATATGTGCCACATTTTCTTAATCCAGCCTATCATTGATGGGCATTTGGGTTGGTTCCAAGTCTTTGCTATTGTGAATAGTGCTGCAATAAACATATGTGTGCATGTGTCTTTAGAGTAGCATGATTTATAATCCTGTGGGTATATACCCAGTAATGGGATTGCTGGGTCAAATGGTATTTCTAGTTCTAGATCCTTGAGGAATCCTGGCTCTACTTTGCATAGATTATTCCATGATGCCAAGCAAAACACAGTTAGGAGAAATCCTGGTAGTAGAAATTCTTTATAATTCTGAGAGTCTGTAGTTTATTTTTTTATCTGAAGGGCTAAGGGTTTTAGAATTTGTATTCCATAGAATTCTTACCCTTTGATGCACAAAAGTTTATTATAGTTTCCAAACTTTATTTGGATAACCCTATTTCAAACAAAATTTAGTAGAACTTTTGCATAATAATAGCTAACAATTATTTCGAGCTTACCATGTGTCAGACTGTTCACAAAGCATTTGACACTGGCTATCTCATTTCATCTCATACAAATTCTGTGATGTAGGTAATGCTATTATCCCAATTTTACAGATAGGGAAACTGAAGCAGGAGGGTTAATTAACTTGCCACATAATAGAAATGAGTTGGTTTAGTTGCGGCTTGCAAGTTGGGCTGCTCAGTCATAGGAGCTGGTCCTAAGGCCCTTGGTGAGAAAACCATGATGAAGAAGGAAGTGCACAGGCCAAGAAGTCACCGTGCCTGATTTGATCAGAGAACCTGTGAGCCAGCTCAGAGAATTTAATCTATTTTTTCCCCCCTAGAGACAGGGTCTCACTCTGTCACCTAGCCTGGAGCACAGTGGCTAGATATAGCTCACTGCAGCCTCGAACTCCTAGGTACAAGCGATCCTCCTGCCTCAGCCTCCTGAGTAGCTGGGTCTATAAGTGAGTGCCACCATACCTGGCTAGTTTATTTTTTGTAGAGACAGTCTTACTGTGTTGCCCAGGCTAGTCTCAGGCTCTTGGCCTCACGTGATCTTCCCACCTTGACCTCCTGAAGTGATGGTGACAGGTGTGAGCCACCATGCCAGGCCTCTCAGAGTCATTTTTAGGGAAAATGCAGATGATTACCGTTCTTATCCACTTCCAGAAGTGCCATGGTGGCACCTGATTTGATCTACCTAAAACTACTTTTTTAAGTGCTTGGAGACTAGGTACCCCACAGGTATCACTTTCACTGGGAGTCATATGTAAACCCACTGACATTTCTATATTCCAAAGCTCAAGTTGCCTCAGTTCTTCCTTTTTAAGAGCAAGCAGTACTCTGTGACACCCTGTGAGCAACTTTTCATACCACAGTATATCCCATATGTAGGAAATCCTCCAGTTTCATAGTTGGCAATTCTCCATCTACCCTGCCTGGCTACAAAGGTGTCAAAGGTGTGGCAGTCATAGATCCATTGACGTGTGTGCTTTTTGCTAAAACTTTGTTTGGTGCATTCCCCTAGATCCCACAGTCTACCCCATTATAGTGGATATAAGAGGATTACTCCAGGTAAGGGATATTCAGAATGAATGCCCCTGAAATAGGGAGAATCCATGTAGTAGTATAACATTTGTTGGAAGGGTTGATTATCAAACAACACAAGTGTTTCCACGTGACAGACAGAATTCTGACTGTTGTAGATGTAATAGCAGCTAATAGAATCATCTTGAAGTAGGTGTAATCATTATCCCCTTGTCATATGAAGCAAATGAAGCATGGAAAATTAAAGAGCTTGCCCAAGTTTTGATTGTAAGTGATGTCTCCAATCTGGGGCCCAGAATCCATTCCACCCCTTGTTTGTAGGTCTTAAAAACAATGAATTTGAGATTCCTAATAAGCAAGTAACCATTCATGCACTCTACCCATGTTTACTGAGTGCCCAAGAATGTCATGCACGATGCAAAGAACTAGAGACAATGCTAATTATTAGGGATTCAAATATGAAAGTGATATAGTTTCTGTCCTCAAGGACTTTATAGTGTAATGAAGGGAAACATAAGTAAATGGGTACTATAAAACATAAGGGAAACATAAGTAAATGGGTACTATAAAACATAAGGGAAACATAAGTAAATGGATGATTGTAAGTATAAGTACTGTCATATAGCTATTAAGTATAACATCCATAGCATATGTTAGATGAACTGAAAGGGACAATGAATCTATACTGGGGTCAACAGAGAAGGCTGAAGGAATGTACCTAACCTGAGCCTTAGAGGAGAAACAGTAGTTAGCATGGTGGGGAATGGAAGGGCATTCCAGGCAGGGAGGGTAATATGAGGAAAGAGGGAGTGTGTAGTTGAATGTGCAGGGAAAGTTTGTGCAGAATGGCTAAATCACTGGATTGGATTATAGAGTAGGGAGCTGAATGGCAATAGATGGAACTGGAGAGGTAGACAGAACCAGGTCATAGAGGGCCTCACGCACAAAATAATAGGTGGTTGGACTTCCTCATATAGGTAACGGAGAGCCGTGTTCAAGACACACACCCAGGGGAAAAGTATTTGGATTAGATTTTGAAGAAGGATATCGGATGGGGTTCAGGGTGGGCAAATGGAGACTAGACCAGTTAGTTGAGACCACTTCGCTTAGAATGATGAGAGGGCAATCTAATGTAGTACAAGGAAGGAAGGGAGGAGAGGAAACTGTTTAGAACAGGGTTTCTGCACATTTCGGGCCACATATTTCTTTGTGGTGAAGGACTGTCCTGTGCACTGTAGGGGCACTGTAGGATGTTTAGTAGCATCCTCAGCCTCCATCCACTAGATGCCAAGAGCAGGTCCTCCTCCAGTTGTGATCACCAAAAATGTCTCCTGCATGGCAAAATTACCCCCATTTGAGATCTACTAGTTTAGACACACTGGTATTAAAATAGAATCAATTGGATTTGGATGGAGAAGGTGGAAAATCACAGTCAAGGTTAACTTTAGGGTTTCTGTATTGACAAAATAGGTGAGAAATAGGTGAGAGAACAGGTCTGATCTTTGAACAAATTAAATTTGAGATACTTGTGGGATATCCTAAAAAGAGATCCAAGAGATAGCTGGATAGATGGATCTTTGCTCAGAGAATTCTCAGCTGGAGATACAAATTTGGGGATTATTTGCATATGGATGGAAAAAAATACCATAGGGGTGAATGAGTTCACTCAGGCAGACTCATGAAGTAAGAAGAGAACCAGGCAGGAACTCTATGGACAACCAAGAGTTAAGGGTGATAGAGCATTGTTTAAATCACAGTTTAATTCTTGATAATGAAAGGGAAAAGAGAAGTAGGTATCACTATGTCATTTTTAATCAGCAATGAAGACCTTGGTATCCCATGACTCAAATAGAAGGTAAGATCTCCTAAAAAAATGTGTGGGAGTAATCGGGGAAATGTTCACAAGATGGTCAGTCTTAAATTAAATGCAGTATTTGTTGAATTTATTTTTCCCTGTGCTTTCAGTACAAAACTAAACAAAACCTTAAAAAGCCTCATAGTTTCAGTGTGGTGAATGAATACCTAGAAATGCAAGGTTAAATTGAAAAACCCATTATATATTTATTAGCAGTGTTGTTTCACTACCTTGTCATCAATGTTCAAAAACAGTACTGCAATGGAAAGCTCAAGGGAAATGCAGGAGCTTTATATAAAGACATATTCTTTAGCCTTTGATAAGGTTCTACAGTGATAATTCTGGAAAAAGTAAAATGTCATGAAGCAATGAACAGAAAGAGCTTACAGGATAGAAAGCAAACCAATAACAAGAACTAGTATCATTTTTGGCAGGCAAGTCAGTGAAGTAGGAAGATAATTTCCTACCAGTGACATGATTTCCACGAAGCTAATTGCCTACAATGCCAATTATAGTGAGAAGCCTTAGACTAGGGCAATCGTGACCTGTGAAAAAGGAATTCAATACTGAAAAGACCAGATGCTTTGGGTAAATAAGTGATTACCTGAATATAAGTTAGATACCCTTGTGAGAAATATTAACTCTTCAGGCCAACAACGTACCACCAGAGGTCCACTCCCAAATAATGCTCTGTGTCTTCCAAAGGGCCTTACAACCAAACCAGCACACCTATCCAAAAACGCAGCTTCCACACACCATGGCTCTGTGTGTTGAAAGGAAGACAAACCGAATGAAGTTCATCAAATAAATTCCCCATCTCACTCATTTGTCAGAGGGAATATCTGCCAGTATTCTCTGCAATACAGGACCCTGTGCTTACCTGATTTCTACAGGGAGCTCTGGACTGCCTTCCTGATTCCAGCCTCTGTCAACCTTCTCTCTCCCTCCCTTTGCCAACATTAAAAAAGAAGTTAACAAATGGATCTAATTACCACAGTGGTTTGAGGCTTCTCAACGTTTTTTTTCCCTTCCAGCTGTAAAGATGTCCTCAGACTGAGCTTCACATTCAGAACTGCTGTCAAACTCTCACTTTAATGGGCACTTAAATTTAATGTCAAGCTGATGCCTGTGGAAGACCTTGATTAAATTTGCAGAGTAGACCCTAACTGAAACAGAACTTTAGAGTTGTCTCATTTCGCCTTTCAAGCTTAAATCCCAGAAGTTTTCTTCTCTTCTTTGTAAAGAATTACAGAAGTTTGCTTGCAAAGACCCTGAGTATTAATAAGACAGCAAAGTGTAACAAGCAAAACAACCTGCATGCTTTTAGAGAGAGAAGAATTCCCTTAGCTTATTAAAATTGTATGTGAATTAAAGATCTTTCCCATTGCTTTATTCCATTCCCAGCTCATTTGAAATCTATAACTATTCACTTTTATGACTCTACAATATTATAAGCAGTCCTAAAAAGTTTACTTAAAACCTTCCTAGTGTTCTTTTATGCACATGGCAATTAAGTTTTTTACTGTATGGACAGAGTGAAAAACATTATGGAAAAACAACTTGAAAGAAATATGACAGAATTTCTCCTAACAATGTCATTGCTTCAACCAGCTACAGATTTCCAACCTAGTTTCTTTCTTTTGCGGTTTCTTCTTTTGTCTTTGATACAATCATACAGCCTCTCTTCCTTGAAGAGATAATAAAAGACTAACAGTTAAAAGATCTGGAAGACTCATATTCTTTTTCACTGGCTACGGTTTTGAAAAGAGTCTGTTGGCTTTTGATTTTTTCTTTTGGGTTCTTTACATCACCCAATTCAAACAGGTCTGCTCTCAAAGAAAACAAAATTGTCAAGACCTGTGAAGCATGAAAAATAAATTGCTTTTTCCAACTCCAAAAAGCACCAGAAAAGCATTAATTTTGTTCTTCTTTTATAAACCTGTGTCCCCTATCCTCTAATCTATAGATTTCACAGAATGTTTATATATTCTTCTGTATAATACATGACAGGAGATCAAACCTTATTATGAATAAATTGAATTGAACCTGTAATACAACTAATATTTAAACTAGTGTTATTTTGGAGTTCAACTAGACACATATAAAACATTCAAGTAAGATGACACAAATTCCTGGGGCTGCCAGTATAAAATAAACAGTCCAGTAAGCTGCATCTACCATGCCGTTAATGACTCTGTCCTTTTAGCTGGTGGGATCACAGGCTTCATAAAAGAAGGAGAACGTGAAGCAGTAGAAAAAGACAGCCTTGCAAAATGCTGTCAGATACAAAACATTCTATCAGAAAATTTCTCATTGAACTAGAGTGGCGAGAGTACTTCTAATATCTCCCTTTTAACACAATGAAGACCTACATTTCTATGCTCGGCTTTCTAAAGCTAACTTAATTCTGTGGTTAAAACAGCTCCAGGTAGCACTTGTTCTTATTTTTTTTTTAAAAAGAGGACTTGTGGTTTTGCAGTCCATGGATAAAGTGGTAGGCAATCATCAGATTCCTGTTGAGAACGACAAATGATGAAGGGAGTAGCAGATGGTTTCAGAAGGCAGAGATTTATACGGGTAATTTGTAGTGGAATAATACTATTTTCTGAACTAGGTAATAATAATTCACCAAGACAAGTAAAAGTTTAGATAGTATCTCATTTAATTATACGTTGCTAAATATTCCAAGAAATCTTTGACTCAGAAGCCTAAAACGAAAACTCAATTAGTTGACATTTTTAGTTTCTGATGATCTGATCCTGTTTAATCCTTTTCATCGTGATGCAGTTTATCACATGATTAAAAATATGGTGCTGCTAACAGTCTAGTTTTCTGAATACAATGTCCTCTTTTCAATTTAGTTAGTATCTGATTCAAAAGGATAAAAGTATCCCTCTTTACTAAGAAAAGAAGACAGAAATAGACTAATACTTTTCACATATTCCAAGGTAATAGATGAGGAAGAACTATGTTTCAAACAGGGTTTCCTGAACACCCCAAATCCTATTGGTGAGTGAGTAGAGCCCCGGGAGGAAATCACTATTTAGATGAGGGTATCCACAATGGCACTGCTCCACAAGGCATACGTGCCAGGGATCATCAACTTCACCTTACTCCCTTGACGAAAGCAGGCAGAGAGAACAGGGCATTGATCTCGTATGTCTGTAATCATCCACAACATTTATTAAATTCTATTGCTGGCACTTAAAGGAGGGGGTTACTATAAGTATCACTATTCATTGCTGAAGTTAATTAATTTACCAAATCTATTTGGTAATTCACAGCAACTACAGAAGCAATAAGGTATGGAAGTTGGAGGGTAAAATAAACACTTTATTTTATATGTACAACTTTCTTGCTTGCTAATTGTCTATTCTTCATGAACCTGTCCCCAGAGTAATGGCAGCAGATAAGACGTGTCATTATTTTACATAATAAAATATCCCTATTATTCCTTAATAAATATAACTGGCTATACTTTATTTTAATTCCCAAGTCACAGTTCACTCAGGAGAGTCTGGTGCCTGATGTAGAATAACCACAAATAGGTCAACTCTTAAAAAAAGGTAAAGAAAAGTTTAAAATATTCATTAGTGATCAGCAATGTGTTGGATACTTCAAACTACCACTTTAAAACTGAAGTAATGTCCAATCTGTTATGACATAAGACTCTCCCAATTATACGCAGACACTGTCATGTACACTTTGACATTTATTAACAAAAATGGTCCAGAAAAGGATTGAGTCAAAATTACAAAGTGATTAAGAGTTAAAACAAAAGTTATTCTTTATTGTAGTTTCTGGGGGACTTTAACCAGTCCCCAAAGCTGTTTTTATCTCCTAAAATAGGACTTAAATGACATCACTCAAATGACAGATTTTAATAGAAACTCTTCCTCTTTCCTTCTGTCAAAGTAAAATATAGTGAAAGTCTCTGTTGTTACCTCAAACCTGCTTTCCTAATAAGTGTGCATGCCTGTAGATGGATTGGGATGCAATGAAGAGAGAAGTTAAACAAAAAGGTTAAAAAAAGAAAGACCAGGCACAGTGGCTCACAACTGTAATCCCAGCACTCTGGGAGGCTGAGGTGTGAGGATCGCTTGAGTCCAGGAGTCTGAGATCTGCCTGGGCAACATAGGGAGACCCTCACCTCTACAAAAAAAAATTGAAAAAAATTAGTTGGATATGGGGTACACACCTGTGGTCCCAACTACTTGGGAGGCTGAGGTAGCAGGATCACCTGAGCTGGGAAGGTCAAGGCTGCAATCAGCTGTAATTGTGTCACTGCACTAAGCCTTGGTGACAGAGTGAAACCCTTTTTCAACAACAAAGGCAAAATCTTAAAAACAGGAAACAGGCTATTGAGGAAAATGGGTTAGAAAACTGCCTAAGAATCTTCACTAAAGTAATCTTCTAGTCCTTCCATATCCATTTCCAGAGAGGAATTTAAAGAGGCCAGAGCAGATGATGCATCCTTGGTTTTCTGGACACTTGGTTTGGGTTGAGGAGTTTCTGGTTGGATAGGTTCCTTCTTTATGTCTTTACCACCATTTAGAATACTTTGGCTCTCACAAAAGAACTGATTAGGATGATTCAAAGAAAAGCCACAATCATCCACCTGTAAAGGAAGGAAATTTATATTGCATTAATACATGGCAAAGCTATAAATATATGAGTTTCAAAAGCTGTTTTAGTACTTGTTTAAAACTTAATACCTGAAACATGGATTCTAGCTGTATGCATTCTAACACTTAATCAGCTACTTACACCATTTCATTCAAAGAGAGCTTCAACCACTACCCAAACCTAAATGGCTCCCACATTTTTATTTCTAGTCTGAGCCTCTGTGTTTGGCTCCAGTTCCCTGTCTAGTTTCAGTCCCATATCCAACACCTACTCAACATCTAAGATGGCTCAAAAGCAGCTCAAACCCAACAGGAAACATATTCTTTCCCCTTTCCCCATCCTTTGCTCTCAGTGACTGGTATCACCATTCATCCTTGGGGCATACTAGACACCTTTCTCTCACATCCCCAGCCCCCAACTCCCACCTGCCACCTCCCATCTACACCAAGACCTCAATTCTGGCAATACCCAAAACATTACCAATTCTGGTTGACAATTACATCAAAACAAAAAATTAGAAAACTATAAAAATGTGTTTGGAATACAAACCTGTGTGTGTGTGTGTGTGTGTGTGTGTGTGTGTGTGTGTGTGTGTGTGTGTGTGTGTGTGTGAATGACATTGTATGTTAGTGAGGCACAGGTTAGGGACCTGTGTGATTCACTATTGTATCCCCAGTTCCAAGAAAAGGCCTACCACATTGTAGGCCAATAAATATTTGTGGGTTTTTAAGTGATTGTAAAATCATTTTTGATCATTTTGATACTTGTCCCTGATACCACTTGTGTTTTAGAGCTGACTTGTAAGTCTGGCATGTGCGCTCCTTTAGTATGATATAAACTGAAAAAGCAACCTAAGTCAATGTAATTCTTCATTCTAATCTTGGCCTTTCCTTAGTCTTTTTACAGAAAATCTCTTCTTGTAAATTTCACTGTGACTGAATACAAACATGCCTGGTTCATAACTTATTTTTTCTCAAATACTATCATTAAACTTTAATTTTGAGTATCATTTCAAATTATGCACTCTAGTAATCTCTCCTTATATTCAGTTTCACTTTCCACAGTCTCAAATCCCTGCCTTCTCACCTTCTGCAGTTGGAGTTGACAACAAAAATATCATTTTGCTTGAGTGAGTGACTGTTGGTTTCTTTGGTGGTATTTTCATTTATCAAGTTTTTGGAAACTGAGAAGTGATTCCATTTCTTTTGTTCATCTGTCTTGTATTAACTAATCCTTTTACGTCTCACCCTTCATACTGAAGTGACTTGCACATTGTAGGTATCTAATAAATATTTGGTGAAGTGAACCCAGAAATAGTGTATACCAGTGATAATTTTGCATATTTAATTAAAGCCTTACTATATAAAAGACTGTGTTATAAACTATTCGCTATTCAGCATACAGGAATATATTTGACTAACTCAAATTTCCAGCCCAGTAAGTTACATACTTAAAAACCTCTACCAAGAATGGAGAACTGATGAGGGTCACAGATAAAGGCCTATTACACTCCACAGTAGAGAGAAATTTCGACTGAGGAGATCAAGGAAGGCTTTGTAAGAGGAGTGCTATTTGAGTTGCGTCTGGAAAGATGGAGGGAGTGAAAAGCTGGGATGATGAGGGGAAAGGCAATATTTGCAGCAGGGCCACATGAGCAAGGTAAAGAGGGAATGTCCTGGGAAAGCAAATATTAAATAGTTCACATAGCCTATTATGAAAGGCACATACAAGGAAACAATAAGGAATGAGGTTGGAAAGACAGGCAGGGGCCAGCCTGAGAGAGCCTTGAAAATCAGGGTAAGTGGTCAAGACCTAATTCTCTAGGCAACAGAGTCACCAAAAACCCTTAAAAAGAGACGTGGTGTGATTAAAGCTATGTATAATCTTATAGTAGATTAAAATGAATTGGTCAGGGAAAAAGGGGTTGCTGCTGCGGTCTAGAATGAACCCTACTGGTGGACGGACCAACAGACAGAAACATGAGTCTTTTCTGGTAATACTTATTTAAGCACCCTAGGAATCTCTGATTCTCTTTTGCTAGTTGTTAATACATGTTAGGCTAATTTTATAGTAATTCCAGGTTGTAACAGATGGATAGTATACAGACTGATTTTAAGAGTTATAGATCATTAAGAACAAATTTTTATCTTGCTTTATTTTTTTAACTTAGCTGCTTGATTTCAAAATGTTTCTGAAATGTTTTATATTTATAATTTTTATTAACAATGGAATCATTTATGAACTTTTTTATTATGAACTTTTTTGTTACATTCAATTTTCACCCAATTCATTAAAAACTGAGAAATCCAATATAAATTTTGCATTTTGCAATGTGTTTCACAAAAAGTATGTTTATTGTCTAATACATTTTAATCAGAAGGCCTTATAGTTTGTAAAATAGTTTGTAAGCAGAAAATCAGAGATTAGAAAGACCTTGGGGAATCCATTAAATTCAATCTCCTCCATGTACAGAGGCCTAAGGAGAATAGATAGTTTATTCAAGGTCATAGAATTAGTAACTGGTTTTGTCTGAATTAAAATTCAGGCCTTCTGACTAGATCATTAGTTGCTCTGAAATCTGTTTTAAGAGATTGTATGCAAAATCATGCTGATAATGATATCTCCATTATAAATTTTATTTCTAGAGATAAACTTGGCTACAAGGATTATAAAAACATAGTTGTATTATTTCATGCAAAAATAACCTAGTATCTTATGCTATAATAATATCTTGGCATTTTCTATACCTCGCTTCAAGTTGTCAGTTATCAATACATTTATTAGACTTCAAATGAATCAATTATAATTCATATATTGCACAAAATAGGGTCATCTTCTTAAAGTCTGAGTTTCTCCATTGATGAAATGGAGATAACAGTGTTAGGTCATAGGGTTGCTATGGGAAAAGTAAATAAAAATGAATGTAAAAAAAAGAGTTGTTCTATGAAATCTAAAGAAAATGTTTTTAAAGAGTCAAGAAAAGCAAGTCACTTAAAAAAAAAGGTGGAGGTCACAGAAGGAGAGGGAGAAAGATCCTATTGCTTTGCATATATCAAGTTCCTTTTCTACTTTAAGGAATCCAAACTGGAAACGTCTGATGCTGTATTATGGGTATAGTTTATAAAAGAAAGATAAAATCAAATTCCAAACACTAAACGATACTCAAAAGACCCTGCCCTAACTAATAAATGGCATTTAAATGTCTTAACTTTAAGATATATTTAAGGTATGTGCATATCGTTAATGAATCCTCATTTTAATTAGTATTTTTTAAATTATACTTAAAGTTCTGGAGTCCATGTGCAGAACATGCAGGTTACATAGGTATATACATGCCATGGTGGTTTGCTGTGCCCACCAACCTGTTATCTACATTAGGGACTTCTACTAATGCCATCCTTCCCCTAGCAGCCCCACCCCCCCAAACAGGCCCTGGTGTGTGACATTTCCCTCCCTGTGTCCATGTGTTCTCATTGTTCAACTCCCACTTATGAGTGAGAACATGCAGTGTTTGGTTTCTGTTCTTGTGTTAGTTTGCTGAGAATGATGGTTTCCAGCTTCATCCATGTCCCTGCAAAGGACATGAACTCATCCTTTTTAATGGCTGCATAGTATTCCATGGTGTATATGTGCCACATATTCTTTACCCAGTCTATCATTGGTGGGCATTTGGGTTGGTTCCAAGTCTTTGCTATTGTGAACAATGCCACAATAAACATACGTGTGCATGTGTCTTTACAGTAGCATGATTTATAATCCTTTGGGTACAACCCAGTAATGGGATTGCTGGGTCAAATGATATTTCTGGTTCTAGATCCTTGAGGAATCGCCACACTGTCTTCCACAATGGTTGAACTAATTTACACTCCCACCAACAGTGTAAAAGCATTCCTATTTCTCCACATCCTCTCCAGCATCTGTTGTTTCCTGACTTTTTAAGGATTGTCATTCTAACTGGCATGAGATGGTATCTCATTGCAGTTTTGATTTGCATTTCTCTGATGACCAGTGATGATGAGCATTTTTTCATATGTTTCTTGGCCACATAAATGTCTTCTTTTGCAAAGTGTCTGTTCATATCCTTCACCCACCTTTTGATGGGATTGTTTGTTTCTTGTAAATTTAAGTTCTTGTAGGTTCTGGATATTAGCCCTTTGTCAGATGGATAGATTGCAAAAATTTTCTCCCATTCTGTAGGTTGCCTGTTCACTCTGATGATAGTTTCTTTTGCTGTGCAAAAGCTCTTTAGTTTAATTAGATCTCATTTATCAATTTTGGCTTTTGTTGCCGTTGCTTTTGGTGTTTTAGTCATGAAGTCTTTGCCCATGCCTATGTCCTGATTGGATTTGCCTAGGCTTTCTTCTAGGGTTTTTATGGTTTTAGGTCTTACGTTTAAGTCTTTAATCCAACTTGAGTTAATTTTTGTATAAGGTGTAAGGAAGGGGTCCAGTTTCAGTTTTCTGCATATGGCTAGCCAGTTTTTTCAAAACTATTTATTAAATAGAGAATCTTTTCCCCATTGATTGTTTTTGTCAGGTTTGTCAACAATCAGAAGGTTGTAGATCTGTGGCATTATTTCTGAGGCTTCTGTTCTGTTCCATTGGTCTATATATCTGTTTTGGTACCAGTACCATGCTGTTGTGGTTACTGTAGCCTTGTAGTATAGTTTGAAGTCAGGTAGTGTGATGCCTCTAGCGTTGTTTTTTTTTTTTTTTTTTTTTTTTTTTTTTTTTTTGCTTAGGATTGTCTTGGCTATGTGGGCTTTTTTTTGGTTCCATATGAAATTTAAAGTAGTTTTTTCTAATTCTGTGTAGAAAGTCAATGGTAGCTTGATGGGGATAGCATTGAATCTGTAAATTACTTTGTGCATTACAGCCATTTTCACGATATTGATTCTTCCTATCCATGAGCATGGAATGTTTTCCCATTTGTTTGTGTCCTCTCTTATTTCCTTGAGCAGTGGTTTGTAGTTCTCCTTCAAGAGGTCCTTCACATCCCTTGGAAGTTGTATTGCTAGGTATTTTATTCTCTTTGTAGCAGTTGTGAATGGAAGTTCACTCATGATTTGGGTCTCTGTCTATTAGAGGTGTATAGGAATGCTTGTGATTTTGCACAGAGAGTTTGTATCCTGAGACTTTGCTGAAGTTGCTGATCAGCTTGTGAAGTTTTTGGGCTGAGATAACGGGGTTTTCTAAATGTAAAATCATGTCATCTGCAAACAGAGACAATTTGACTCCCTCTCTTCCTATTTGAATACCCTTTATTTCTTTCTCTTGCCTGATTGCCCTGGCTAGAACTTCCAATTTTGTGTTGAATAGGAGTGGTGAGAGAGGGCATCCTTGTCTTGCGCCAGTTTTCAAAGCGAATGCTTCCAGTTTTGCCCACTCAGTATGATATTGGCTGTGGGTTTGTCAAAAAATAGCTCTTACTATTTTGAGATATGTGCCATCAATACCTAGTTTATTGAGAGTTTTTAGCATGAAGGGATGTTGAATTTTGTTGAAGGCCTTTTCTGCATCTATTGAGATAATCATGTGGATTTTGTCATTGGTTCTGTTTATGCACTGGATTATGTTTATTGATTTGCATATGTTGACCCAGCCTTGCATCCCAGGGATGAAGCTGACTTGATCATGGTAGATAAGCTTTTTGATGTGTTGCTGGATTCAGTTTGCCAGTATTTTATTGAGGATTTTTTGCATCGATGTTCACCAGGGATATTGGCCAGAAATTTTCTTTTTTTGTTGTGTCTCTGCCAGGTTTCGGAATCAGGATGATGCTGGCCTCATAAAATGAGTTAGAGAGGACTCCCTCTTTTTCTGTTGTTTAGAATAGTTTCAGAAAGAATGGTACCAGCTCTGCTGTGTACCTCTGGTGGAATTTGTCTGTGAATCTGTCTGGTTCTGGGCTTTTTTTTTGGTTGATAGGCTATTACTGCCTCAATTTCAGAACTTGTTATTAGTCTATTCAGGGATTTGACTTCTTCCTGGTTTAGTCTTGGGAGGGTGTATGTGTCCAGAAATGTATCCATTTCTTCTAAACTTTCTAGTTTATTTGTGTAGAGGTGTTTACAGTATTCTCTGATGGTAGTTTGTATTTCTGTGGGATCAGTGGTGATATCCCCTTTATCATTTTTTATTGCATCTATTTGAATCGTTTCTCTTTTCTTCTTGGTTAGTCTGGCTAGCAGTCTACTTTTTTGATCTTTTCAAAAAACCAGCTTCTGGATTCATTGATTTTTTGAAGGGTTTTTTGTGTCTCTATCTCCTTCAGTTCTGCTCAGATCTTAGTTATTTCTTGCCATCTGCTAGCTTTTGAATTTGTGTGCTCTTGCTTCTCTAGTTCTTTTAATTGTGATGCTAGGGTGTTGACTTTAGATCTTTCTTGCTTTGTCTTGTGGGCATTTAGGGCTATAAATTTCCCTCTAAACACTGCTTTAGCTATGTCCCAGAGATTCTGGTATGTTGTGTCTTTGTTCTCAATGGTTTCAAGAACTTATTTATTTCTGCCTTAATTTTATTATTTACCCTGTAGTAATTCAGGAGCAGACTGTTCGGTTCCCATGTAGTTGTGCGGTTTTGAGTGAGTTTCTTCATCTTGAGTTCTAATTTGATTGCACTGTGGTCTGAGAGACTGTTTGTTAAGATTTCCATTCTTTTGCATATGTTGAGGAGTGTTTTACTTCTAATTATGTGGTCAATTTTAGAATAAGTGCAATGTGGTGCTGAGAAGAATGTATATTCTGTTGATTTGGGGTAGAGAGTTCTGTAGATGTCTATTAGGTCCACTTGGTCCAGAGCTGAGTTGAAGTCCAGAATATCCTTGTTAATTTTCTGTCTCGTTGATCTAATATTGACAGTGGGGTGTTAAAGTTTCCCACTATTATTGTGCAGGAGTCTACAACTCTTTGTACGTCTCTAAGAACTCGCTTTATGAATCTGGGCACTCCTGTATTGGGTGTATATATATTTAGGACAGTTAGCTCTTCTTTTTGAATTGATCCCTTTACCATTATGTAATGCCCTTCTCTCTTTTGATCTTTGTTGGTTTTAAGTCTGTTTTATCAGAGACTAGGATTGCAATCCCTGCTTTTTTTTTTTTTTTTTTTTTTTTTTGCTTTCTGTTTGCTTAATAAATATTCCTCCATCCCTTTATTTTGAGCCTATGTGTGTCTTTGCCTGTGAGATGGTTTCCTGAATACAGCACACCGATGGGTCTTGACTCTTCATCCAATTTGCCAGTCTGTGTCTTTTAACTGGGGCATTTAGCCTCTTTACATTTCAAGTTAATATTGTTATGTGTGAATCTGACCCTGTCCTTATGATGCTAGCTGGTTATTTTGCTCGTTGGTTGATGCAATTTCTTTATAGTGTTGATAGTCTTTAGAATGTGATATGTTATTGCAGTTGCTGGTACCAGTTGTTCCTTTCCATGTTTAGTGCCTCCATTAGGAGCTCTTGTAAGGCAGGCCTAGTGGTGACAAAATCTCTCAGCATTTGCTTGTCTGTAAAGGATTTTATTTCTCCTTTGCTTATGAAGGTTAGTTTGGCTGCATATGAAATTCTGGGTTGAAAATTCTTTTCTTTAAGAATGTTGTATATTGGCTCCCACTCTATTCTGGCTTGTAGGGTTTCTGCAGAGAGATCCGCTGTTAGTCTGATGGGTTTCCCTTTGTGGGTAACCTGACCTTTCTCTCTGGCTGCCCTTAACATTTTTTCCTTCATTTTAACCTTGGTGATTCTGACAATTATGTGTCTTGGGGTTGTTCTTCTCGAGGAGTATCTTTGTGGTGTTCTCTGCATTTCCTGAATTTGAATGTTGGCCTGTCTTGCTAGGTTGGGGAAGTTCTCCTGGATTATATCCTGAAGTGTTTTCCAACTTGGTTCCATTCTCCCGGTCACTTTCAGGTACACCAATCAAACATAGGTTTGGTCTTTTCACATAGTCCCATATTTCTTGGAGGCTTTGTTCATTCCTTTTCATTCTTTTTTCTGTAATCTTGTCTCTTGTTTTATTTCATTAAGTTAATCTTCAATCTCTGATATCTGTTCTTCTGCTTGATCAGTTCAGCTGTGGATACTTGTGTATGCTTCATGAAGTTCTCTTGCTGTGTTATTCAGTTCCATCAGGTCATTTATGTTCTCTAAACTAGTTATTCTAGTTAGCATTTCCTCTAACTTTTTTTCAATGGTTTCTTAGCTTCCTTGCATTGGGTTAGAACATGCTCCTTTAGCTCGGAGGAAGTTGTTATTACCCACCTTCTGAAGCCTACTTCTGGCAATTTGTCAAACTCATTCTCCATCCAGTTTTATTCCCTTGCTGGTGAGGAGTTGTGACCCTTTGGAGGAGAAGAGATATTCTGGTTTTTGGAATTTTCAGCCTTTTTGCGCTGGTTTCTCCCAGTCTTTGTGGATTTATCTACCTTTGGTCTTTGATGTTGGTGAACTTTGCATGGGGTTTCTGAATAGATGTCCTTTTTATTGATGTTGAAGGTATTCCTTTCTGTTTGTTAATTTTCCTTCTGACAGTTAGACCCCTCTGCTGCAGGTCTGCTGGAGTTTGTTGGAGGTCCACTCCAGACCCTGTTTGCCTGTGTATCACCAGTGGAGGCTGCAGAACAGCAAAGATTGCACCCTGTTCCTTCCTCTGGAAGCTTCGTCCCAGAGGGGCACCCACCAGATGCCAGCCGGAGCTCTCCTGTATGAGGTGTCTGTCGGCCCCTGCTGGGAGGTGTCTCTCAGTCAGGAGACATGGTGGTCAGGGACCCACTTGAGGAGGCAGTCCCTTAACAGAGCTCGAATGCTATGCTGGGAGATCTGCTGGTCTCTTTAGAGCTGGCAGTCAGGAACGTTTAAGTCTGCTGAAGCTGCACCCACAGCTGCCCCTTCTCCCATGTGCTCCATCCCAGGGAGATGGGGATTTTATCTGTAAGCCCCTGACTGGGGCTGCTGCCTTTTTTTTCAGAGATAATTAATCTTTTTTTATTAACCACTAAAACAGTGCCAAGGGCCTTGAAGTGAGGATTTGTGCCATGGCTCTGTGATGCTGTTTCTCCTTTTTCTTGATCTGCAATTGTCCTTAACTCATTTTTGATGCTCTTTGTGATCTACTAAGTTGCTTGATAGCAAAATGAAATTATGAAGTTTCCTTTTTATAGAATTCTATTTTCTTCTAGGATGAGTTCTTTGTGTTCTGCTTCTTTCACTTTCATTTTTAAAGGAAGTGTACATGGCTGTTTCCTTTTGTATTGTTTAGGGAAATAAACTTAGGGGGTTTTTTTGTATGTGGGGGGAAGGGGAAGAGCATAAACTAAAGAGAATGGAAATCTTCACTTTAAAATTAAATTAGGAAAAGGAATAGAGAAATAGAGGTATCCACATCTAAATCCTCCATTTCACTTATTTCTTCTCAGGTCAGCAGCTATTTCCTTTACTCTGTTTGGAAATATTAAGTGAGCATTTTCATGACTTTGTCTACTGTGACTCTTTTGTTTCTTTCCTTGCCTGTTTTCTTTTTTGGTTACTATTGCTGATGTTTTTCTTTGTGGTTGATGATTTCAAAAATTATGTTTTGTGCATTATTTTATGTATTGAGATGGGAAAATTCTGCGAAGCATTTGCATTCTACCACACTAGCTTGGTCCTAGTGTTTCAGGTCCAAAGACCTGTAAAGGATCTGAAGCAAATTTAGGAGTCTAGAGGAAGGTGGGTGGAGTGGAGGCCTTTAGAAGATACATTATAAATTTTAGATTTCATCTTAAGAGAAATAGGAAGCCACTGAAGGTTTTAAAAAGCAGGTTCCTGAAATGATCAGATTCCTCTATTTTAAAGGTCACTCCAGCAGCTGTGTGGAGGAGAAAGAATTGGAATGGGGCATGTGTAGATGCTGGGAAACGAGTTAACAAGCTATTGCAGTGATCCAAGTGAGATGATGGTGGCTTCTAGCCCAGCATTCTAACTGATATCCATAATGATGACCCTGAGTTATTATAAAAGGGCTTAATTGTATCACATATATCCTGTTTAAGATTGCAGGAAAATGTGTGATAGGTTTTAATAAGATTTCTCTAGAGATTTATATGGTGGGGAAAAATTATGCTCAGCCATTTGGAAAATAGTACCCACAGTTACTCAGTGTCCAAAGAGGTCTACCTCTGAAAACATTATTTTCTATTAAAATTCTGTGGTTAATCTACACATGACCTAGTGTTTTCATTTATACATGGAACATGCAGAAAGAATATACTATTAGTATAAAATTATTTTAAACATTGATCCTAAAAATACAGAGGAAAACAGGTTTCAAGCAGGCCAGCTTTTAACATCTACTAAATGAATCTCTCTTAAACATTTGTTTGGAATCAGCACATTCTGCGCACAATGACCTTCACACAAACATGGGTCTCATATTTCTGCCACTGCAAATGTAGAGTTTGAAGGAATGAAAGCAATATTGTTTTACCTATGGGATATTTGGGTTTTAATCAAGAGGTTTTGCAATGACAGCTTATAATGAGGCAGCTGGTATTACCAAAAAAGCCATATGGAACTATCATAGTGCTGCTGCAAATGGTATCAATTAACTGGTTTATTTTCAAAACTTCCATTTAAGTAAGTTTGATCACAGAGGCCTCGGGAAAATAAACATAGGATTTTATTTGGGGGAGGGGTAGGATGGCAGAAACCTGACAATAAAAATAGATTCTATTTTTAAATTAAATTAGAAAAAATATAAATGAAGGAGGATATTCACATCTAAAAGTCCACAGTGAGAGATCTAGTGAATACAAACAGCCTTTTTATTTTGTTGATTTAAGTGTGGTTTAAGTTGACTATTTTTATATGTGAGGGGATTTAGATATATGTCTTTCCAAAATCTTCATTAATCTAAAACAAGTTTTAAAAATTGGCAATAGTGGCAATACTTGAGGGAATAATCAATAGGAGAGATATTACAAAAGCAGATTTGAGAAATAAAAACCACTCCTTACTTTTTGGTGATTATGCCACAAACTCAATGTTTAAATCTAATTTTCATATCTTATTTTTATAAAAAGAGGTTGGATAATAGACTTCACTTGTGAAAATTCTGAGGCCTCTTAATTAAAAGCATCCACAAATGATTAAAGAACAATAGGAAATTAAAACTCTCAAGCGGAGCAACCAAATTAAAGAATGCAGTCTCCGAGAGAGTGACTCATATAAACCTGGTGTTGCCAAACATGGCTTATCTGGCGAGATTCCTAGTGTGATAAAACTAATGAGATTTTGTTGTTGCTATTTTCTTGATGTTTACTCCTTGAGTTTTGTTTTAAAAAAAGCTTTTAAATAAGAATAATACTTTCAAAAGTTAGGTATAGAAGAATGAGGACAGGACCCACAACAGACTGGGGCTCTAGCTCCAGATCTTCCATTAATCAATTACAGCATGTAAGGCAAGTTAGAGTCCCTACCTGTTTACCATGCTATGAAGATAAACAGGAAAATGCCAATTACCTCTGCTGTCATTATCACATATTTAGTACCAAATATCATAGGACAGTACAGTCATAGTTATGCTCACAAGCTTTAGATGAGTTAGACAGCTTGAATTTAAATCTAAGTTCTATCCCCTATAAGTAGTGTAACCCCACACAGATTGTTTAACTTCTCTAAGTTTTATTCATAGACAGGGAAATATACATATAGTATCTTTCTGTAATGTCAATCAAAAGAGCTAATGCGTTCAAAAATTTTAGTGCTGTGCCTGGTATACATTAAGGCAGGGGTTCCCAACCCAGTCCGTGGCCTGTTAGGAATTGGGCCTCACAGCAGGAGGTGAGCAGTGGGTGAGTGAGTGGAGCTTCATCTGTATTTACAGCCACTCCCCATCACTTGCATCACTGCCTGAGTTCCACCTCCTGTCAGATCAGCAGTGGCCTTAGATTCTCATGGGGGTGTGAACCCTATTGTGAACCCCACATGCAAGGGATCTAGGTTGCGTGCTTCTCATGATTATCTAATGTGCCCTCCCACCAGCCCCTGTTTAACCATGGAAAAATTGTCTTCCATGAAACTGGTCCCTGGTGCCAAAAAGGTTGGGGACTGCTGCATTAAGGGTTCCATAGATATTGGCTGGTATTACTATTATTATTTTAATTATTATTGGTAATATTATAAAATATCTTTTTCCTATGAGATATTTTATCAAGTAAGAAATTCTGCAATTATATAACCATAATAGAAAAACTACTTTGTAACAACCAAATAAAAAACATAAAAATAATTGTAAAACTTTAGCATGGTAGCTGATGATGATTTCAACAAATGCAACTTCCTTTTTGAGAGGGCATGGATCTTTAATAAGTAACATGGACTCTGGAAAAATACACATATGTACTTAGAGACAAAATGTTTCAAGAAGTACAAGGATCTCCAAAGTCTGTTCTTGGATGTCTTTCCCAGGTTAGAAATTCAGGCTCAGGATCAGTGGATGCAAACTAGGGTCCAGAGGATTGAATTGGACTTGGAGATGTGTTTTGTTGGCCTGCAGAGGGCCTCACAATTTGTCAATGTGAATGCCTCTAATAGGGCAAACATGTTTAGTGCACCATAATTCTGCCATACTCTGTGGTACTAATCTCAGGCAGCTTCACTTTTTTGGGCTATATGCCCAATCTCTGTAGGCCTCTGAGTTTGTGACATTGGCTTTACACACTTCAAAATCCATTCTGTGCCAGACTGGGTCTTTCCACTCTTACTCTAATAATCAAGCAGGCTTTTTTGTACTAAGGAAGCTGGCAAGATAAAAACCAAACACATTTCCCTGACTCGTGTACAGTTAGGGGTCCACATGCAATCTAGGTTTTGCCATGCAGATAAGTATGAGACTTGGGAAGTGGATTACAGTTAGATCAGGTGGCAGCCACAAGTACAAGGATCAGATTTTCTGCATGGAAGATGGCAAAAGCCTTGGTTCTTCTAGGCAGCTGTGGCAAAGATTCTAGATCTAGTCTAGAGGTTGGCAAATCAAGGCCCGTGGGTCAAACTGGGTCTACTACCTAATTTTATCAATAGAGTTCTATTGGATCAACAGTCATACCTGTCATTTGCATATTTTCTACAGCTGCTTTTGCACTACAACAGTAGAGTTGAGTAGCTGTGACGCAGACCATATGGACCATGAAGCCTACAATTTTTACACTCTGGCTCTTTACAGAAAAACTTTATTGACCCTTGGTCTCATCCCTAGATATGGAGTGGTGGGTGACAGCTGTAGTAAAGATTTTCTCATGATGTAGCTTCTCCTAGTTACAAAATATTCCTGGTTCTGCAGCATCCAAGCTTAGTTTGTCTGGTCATTCAATAAATGCTGTAGGTTACTTAATACCATGCAATCCCCTTTTCTGCTGAAAATAGCTAGAGTGGTTTCCATTGCTGCAACTAAAAACCCTGAATGTGACACAGTAACAAAAGACAAATAATTAGGATATAAAGTTAAAAAAATACTTACATTGTGTATCATCTCAAAGTATTTTTGACAGGCTACCTGGTAATGTGTCCCCTTTACTAAATCCAAAATCTAAAATGAATGAGGAAAAAGACAAATAAAAATTAGAAATTAAGTTTTCTTCTAAACCACTGTAGCTCACAGCTGTTGGCCTTTTCATAATCTTCATTCCAGACAGGAAATGCAATAAATCATGTAGCATGTTGTACTTCTGCAGCCTGGACACTGTGATAATTCTGACATTATACAGTAGTGGTTTAGGTCAGCATTAAACCACAGATGACAAGAGATAGTGATCTTTCTGGCCTACCAACTGTACATTTTAATAACTTTACCTCAACAACAAGATGAAAATGGATCCTGGTATGATGACTTTGACAGTTATTGTCAGAACATCATATTGCAACATCTCTCCGAAAACTGTAGATAGAAATCTAGTAATCTAATGGTTGGTGCATGAAGCAATCAAGTGTACTATTTAGATATGTATTTTCCACATTAATGGTTTATACAGATACAGCATAAAATACTGCTGTGTGCCCATCAGGAAAATTTAATGTAAACCCTTTTGGACAAGTATCTGTGAAGAGGGAATGCTTTTACCTTCAGTCAGATTTGTCCTTTTTGAAATGAAGTTATTTCTAGCAAAGCTCAGCAGAATATGAGAGTGAATAGCCTATTCTGAACACCTATTAGGAACATCATCCTATCTTTCGTAAATACAATTTGCTTTCCAATTCTACTTCATGTAATCTCTTCAGAGCGGTGCAAACTCCCATCCTTATCAGCAGACTGCAATGCCAGTTGAAATTTGTAAAGTTTCATTGCTTCCCCCAAGCCCTCAAATAAATAAAACACATATTTGGCCTATTTATCAAATGCAGTAAAATGCTGGAATTAAGAGATAACCTCAAATGAATGGAAACATAATTCTGGAGAAATGTTAATTTCTATTCCTCTTTTATTTTTTAAAAGGCTGATCTTCCTGTCACAAAAAGAAATGAACATGGGGTCTCAAATTCTTGCTATCTTCATTATTGAGTATAGCTTAATGTCATTTGACAGATACACAAAAAAAATTACAGTTACAGGACAGGCATTATACAATACTGACAAGAATGTGCTTCAAAAATTGTTTTTCTCTGATTGTCTTATAGATTACATTTCTGAATTTCGTGTCACCTTTTATTTAATCATATATGAAAGACCTGTGTAAATTCCAGCCAACCACAGAGGCCAGGTTTCTGCCAGTCTGCCTATCTGGCCTGTCTACTTTTCTTGAATTATTAGAGCAAAATATGAAAAATCAGTTTGAAATGAGACTTTCTTCATTTTTAAATTTATTCTGCAAGTTTTCCAAGTAACGCTAACACTGAGTTCATGTTGTCTGATGCTCTTCACAAAGATTTTCAAATTGTGATGAGATAAACTTGCAAATAATTACTGACAAACATCTATAATCATATATTAATATCTGAGTTAGAATTTTGGAGAAGTAAAGACTTCAAACATAAATTTAAGCTTTAGATGATCCCATAAATTACCTGAAGAGGAAATGGATTCACAGAAATAAAAAAGCTCAACCATATAAAAAGTAAATATGTAACATGATATACATACATACATACAATCTAGTATGTATATGTTTGGGAAACGTGCTATAAAGAAATAATAAATCATATTAATAAAAAATTTATTTGGGTAATCCACACGTGTAAAAAACTTACTAAAGAAAACTGACATAAAAGCCACAGAATGTGAGAAAAACAGATGTATTGCAAATTTTAGGTTCAATTTTTAGGGTCCATAAAAAATTAAATTTAAATTAATCACACTACAATCTTCCCCTGACCTGACCCAACTCGCAGAGAGGGCTCTTCCTAAACAAAAATAATTTACTTTTATTTTTGTTTTATTTTATTAGGATGAATTTTTATTTAAAATCTGCTTGAAATCTATAAACAAGTCATTCAACTATGATCAGGATAGCTTAAAGAACTTTAATCATGTCCCAGCATATTTAAGATAAGTGAAGGTTTCTATAAATAAGTAAAGGTGTGATGAGAAAAAAAGGCAATAGAGGTTTTTGAGGTAAACAAGTATTATTGGTAGATACTTTTATCTTCACTTCAGAAATGAGGAAATATATTAAAATTGGAGTATCTGTCTCCTGAGGGTGAGGGCCATTAACCGCAGAAAGAATTTTAAAAATCACATACAAATTAATAATCTTTCTTTTAAAGGAAGATAACTTACATGCTTTTAAAATTAAGGTAGAAAATATAAAACATTACTCCAAAAAATCCAACTAATGAATATATAGTTTCATTTCAGATTATGATCTATATTACAGAGATATAGGAAAAGAAAAGATGGACCAAGGAATGAAGTTTGACTTTTTCTCTGAGTAAAATGGGGAGATAATACAATATTCTATGTGCAGGACTAAAGTGAACTGACATTTACAGAGGGATCATTTTTGCCTGCTGTGCTGGGAACAGATTGGAAAGGACAGAGGTAGAAACAGGGAGCTCATTACACGAATTCAGGGAATAGATGGTAGATCCATGGACCACGGTGGCAATATCAGTGGCGATGGTAAGTGGTCAGATTTGGAGACAGGAGCATTTCCCACTTAATGGCTATAAAATATTTCTAAAATCAGATGTTCTCCATGAAAACACTCAAGAGGAACCTGTCCTCCAATGTCTTAAAATAATGCATGAGCTACCACTCAACCCCTTCCCCTGCCAACTGATTTCCTAAATAACTAGTTCTAAAACTCGGGAAAATGCCAATATGAAAAACAAACCTATCATATAAAATAAATGTAAAATACCCAAAATATCACGTAGTAGCCACTAAACAATATGATTAACAAACAGATATTTTCTGTGTAGAAACAGGAGTATGATACCTCTTGTCTCTTAGAGTTAGGACTTCTTAGATGCACACTTTGCTGACGTCAAAATCTTCCCAAGTGATTCTGATGTTCTAGAATTTGTATATGGACTGCAACCTGAGACTTCTTCTGCACTTTGTTTTGTTAAATTTTTCCAATATGAACATCACCACTAAGCACTGTATTAAGATATTCTGCAGGTCACTCTATTTTGATGTTGATACTAATATAACTTGCTGAGGGGGTTTGATGACTCCAAGGCAGGAAATACAAACTAAAAATCAGGTGAAGGAAATGAAGCATTAAGGTATGACCAAGACACTAAAATTCAACTTATGATATAGGATCAAAATTAAAAACCTGGCAAACACCAAAATCCAAGAACAGATGCCTAAGGTACACTGCGTGAAACAGAACTTAGGGTCAAATTTCCACAAGATACTTATACACCATGGAGTACTATGCAGCCACAAAAAAAGAACAAAATCATGTCCTTTATGGCAACACAGATGCAGCTGAAGGCCATTATCCTAAGCAAATTAATGCAGAAAGAAAATCAAATACCACATGTTCTCACTTAAAGTGGGAGCTAAACATTGGTTATACATGGACACAAAAAAGGCAACAATAAACACTGGGGATTCTAAAACTGGGGGGAGGGAGACAAGAGTTGAAAAACTACCTATCAGGTACTATGTTCACTACTTGGGCAATGGGATCATTAGAAGCCCAAGCCTCAGCATCATGCAATATACCCATATAATAAACCTGCACATGTGCCCCCCTGAATCTAAAATAAAAATTTTAAAAAACGTATTAAAAAACTGAAATACTCCACAAAGTAATGAAGGTGTTGTTAGGCAAGAGTACTTTTTGCCTGTGTTTGTTTCTGCAGCATAGCTTCTGAAAGCCCAGACCTCCATCCTCACAAGCTGGTCTTGGCTCCTAAAAAGATAGCTTCCCAAGATGGCAGGCCAGGACTGCCCAGAGTGAGGGTCAGAAATAGAATAGGTCAGGAAAACACATACTACATAGAGGTGGAAACCCATCAAGAGGAAGAAATATAATGAAGAGACAAAAAACAAGAATAGGAAGAAAAATGTGGAAAGCCAGAGAAATGGGATAAGTAAATGGAGTCCATGGCTTGCTATTTATGTGGTTTGCAAGCATCAAAGTCTAACCCACAGCTCACAAAAGATGTTTCAATGAGCATTGACAGTAACTCTCCAGTTTTCATGTTCCATTCTGAAAGAACCAGAGCACCTTATGAGGTCCTCTTGCATATTGCAATAATACCAAAGAACAGTTTTCCAAAGGTCAGAGGAAACCAAATCAAGGGTCCATTCTGATGGTGGGGCCAGAAGTTTCCTAAATCTGTTTTAGAAAAATATCAAACAATTTGAACAATCATATCAAAGACATTTAAAAACACAATTTTTATTTGAAGAAAAAACTCATATAAAGATCTAAGAATATTATACAAATGGCAATATGACTTAGTTTTTAATGCCAGTATTTCCAGATAAAGTACAAAATGTCAAGTGTAACAATCCACTTACTGTTCTAATCCAGTTCATCAGTAATCAAAAGGCTAAGAAAAAGTGAGTAGTGGATGGGCACGGTGGCTCACGCCTGTAATCCCAGCACTTTGGGAGTCCAAGGCAGGTGGATCATGAGGTCAGGAGTTCAAGACCAGCCTGGCCAACATGGGGAAACCCCATGTCTACTAAAAATGCAAAAATTAGCTGGGTGTGGTGGTGCGTGTCTGTAATCCCAGCTACTCAGGAGGCTGAGGCAGGAGAATCGCTTGAACCCAGGATGTGGAGGTTACAGTGAGCCAAGATTGCAACACTACACTCCAGCCTGAGTGACAGAGCAAGACTGTCTCAGAAAAAAACAAAACAAAGAAAGAAAAAGTGAGTTCCATTGATCTATATCTCTGTTTTGCTACCAGTACCATGCTGTTTTGGTTACTGTAGCCTTGTAGTATAGTTTGAAGTCAGGTAGTGTGATGCCTCCAGCTTTGTTCTTTTGGCTTAGGATTGACTTGGTGATGCGGGCTCTTTTTTGGTTCCATATGAACTTTAAAGTAGTTTTTTCCAATTCTGTGAAGAAAGTCATTGGTAGCTTGATGGGGATGGCATTGAATCTGTAAATTACCTTGGGCAGTATGGCCATTTTCACGATATTGATTCTTCCTACCCACGAGCATGGAATGTTCTTCCATTTGTTTGTATCCTCTTTTATTTCCTTGAGCAGTGGTTTGTAGTTCTCCTTGAAGAGGTCCTTCACATCCCTTGTAAGTTGGATTCCTAGGTATTTTATTCTCTTTGAAGCAATTGTGAATGGGAGTTCACTCATGATTTGGCTCTCTGTTTGTCTGTTGTTGGTGTATAAGAATGCTTGTGATTTTTGTACATTGATTTTGTATCCTGAGACTTTGCTGAAGTTGCTTATCAGCTTAAGGAGATTTTGGGCTGAGACAGTGGGGTTTTCTAGATAAACAATCATGTCGTCTGCAAACAGGGACAATTTGACTTCCTCTTTTCCTAACTGAATACCCTTTATTTCCTTCTCCTGCCTGATTGCCCCGGCCAGAACTACCAACACTGTGTGGAATAGGAGTGGTGAGAGAGGGCATCCCTGTCTTGTGCCAGTTTTCAAAGGGAATGCTTCCAGTTTTTGCCCATTCAGTATGATATTGGCTGTGGGTTTGTCATAGATAGCTCTTATGATTTTGAAATACGTCCCATCAATACCTAATTTCTTGAGAGTTTTTAGCATGAAGGGTTGTTGAATTTTGTCAAAGGCTTTTTCTGCATCTATTGAGATAATCATGTGGTTTTTGTCTTTGGCTCTGTTTATATGCTGGATTACATTTATTGATTTGCATATATTGAACCAGCCTTGCATCCCAGGGATGAAGCCCACTTGATCATGGTGGATAAGCTTTTTGATGTGCTGCTGGATTCGGTTTGCCAGTATTTTATTGAGGATTTTTGCATCAATGTTCATCAAGGTAATGTGTCTAAAATTCTCTTTTTTGGTTGTGTCTCTGCCCAGCTTTGGTATCAGAATGATGCTGGCCTCATAAAATGAGTTAGGGAGGATTCCCTCTTTTTCTATTGATTGGAGAGCCCTCAGAAATAACGCCGCATACCTACAATTATCTGATCTTTGACAAACCTGAGAAAAACAAGCAATGGGGAAAGGATTCCCTATTTAATAAATGGTGCTGGGAAAACTGGCTAGCCATATGTAGAAAGCTGAAACTGGATCCCTTCCTTACACCTTATACAAAAATCAATTCAAGATGGATTAAAGATTTAAACGTTAGACCTAAAACCATAAAAATCCTAGAAGAAAACCTAGGCATTACCATTCAGGACATAGGCGTGGGCAAGGACTTCATGTCCAAAACACCAAAAGCAATGGCAACAAAAGACAAAATTGACAAATGGGATCTAATTAAACTAAAGAGCTTCTGCACAGCAAAAGAATCTACCATCAGAGTGAACAGGCAACCTAAAACATGGGAGAAAATTTTTGCAACCTACTCATCTGACAAAGGGCTAATATCCAGAATCTACAATGAACTCAAACAAATTTACAAGAAAAAAACAAACAACCCCATCAAAAAGTGGGCGAAGGACATGAACAGACACTTCTCAAAAGAAGACATTTATGCAGCCAAAAAATACATGAAAAAATGCTCATCATCACTGGCCATCAGAGAAATGCAAATCAAAACCACTATGAGATATCATCTCACACCAGTTAGAATGGCAATCATTAAAAAGTCAGGAAACAACAGGTGCTGGAGAGGATGTGGAGAAATAGGAACACTCTTACACTGTTGGTGGGACTGTAAACTAGTTCAACCATTGTGGAAGTCAGTGTGGCGATTCCTCAGGGATCTAGAACTAGAAATACCATTTGATCCAGCCATCCCATTACTGGGTATATACCCAAATGACTATAAATCATGCTGCTATAAAGACACATGCACACGTATGTTTATTGCGGCATTATTCACAATAGCAAAGACTTGGAACCAACCCAAATGTCCAACAATGATAGACTGGATTAAGAAAATGTCTCACATATACACCATGGAATACTATGCAGCCATAAAAAATGATGAGTTCATGTCCTTTGTAGGGACATGGATGAAATTGGAAACCATCATTCTCAGTAAACTATCGCAAGAACAAAAAACCAAACACTGCATATTCTCACTCATAGGTGGGAACTGAACAATGAGATCACATGGGCACAGGAAGGGGAATATCACACTCTGGGGACTGTGGTGGGGTGGGAGGAGGGGGGAGGGATAGCATTGGGAGATATACCTAATGCTAGATGACGAGTTAGTGGGTGCAGCGCACCAGCATGGCACATGTATACATATGTAACTAACCTGCACAATGTGCACATGTACCCTAAAACTTAAAGTATTAAAAAAAAAAAAAAAACCACAAAAAAAAAAAAAAAAAAGATTTGTCCCATTTACAACTATGATGATTAAGGGAGCTAATGTTTGTATAAATGCTTAAGTACAATAGAACCATAATTTATTGTAAAATTACATAATAAAGATAATGAGGTCCCTGAATGTGAAAAGAAAAAAAAGAAAGAAAGAAAAAGTGAGTAGTAGTGACATCAAACTACCATATTTTGGTAATTCGTATTTTTAAACTCTATATATTTTTAAACTTTTTTTTTTTTTTTTTTTTTTTCTGGAGACAGAGTCTCACTCTGTCACCCAGGCTAGAGGGCAGTGGTGCAATCTCGGCTCACTACAACCTCCACCTCCCGGGTTCAAGTGATTCTCCTGCCTCAGCTCTCAAGTAGCCAGGATTAGAGATGCACACCATAACACCCAGCTAATTTTTGAATTTTTAATAGAGATGGGGTTTTGCCATGTTGGCCAGACTGTTCTTAAACTCCTGGCCTCAAGCAACCTACCAGCCTCGGTCTCCAAAAGTGCTAGGATTAGAGGTGTGAGCCACCATGCCTGGCCTCTCTTTATTTTTAACTATTCTCTATCAGTTGAATAAAGTCCACCAGTAAGAATATTACGGATTTTAAAAATAGGCTGAGTGTGGTGGCTCACACCTGTAATCCCAGCACTTTGGGAGGCCAGGGCAGGTGGATTGCTTAAGTCCAGGAGTTCAAGACCAGCCTAGGCAACACGGAGAAACCCTGTCTCTAATAAAAATATGAAAAATTAGCCAGGCATGGTGGCACATGCCTGTAGTCCCTGCTACTTGGGGTGTTGAGGCGGGAGCTTCGCTTGAGTAGGGGAGGTCGAGGCTGCAGTGAGTCCTGACCATGCCACTGCACTCCAGCCTGGGTGACAGAATGAGACACTGTCTTAAAAAAAAAAAAAAAAAAAAAAGCAATGCAGTTTTCATCTTCACAAAAAGTTCATATTTGTATTTGCTAAGTTTGCTAAAAGCATTAATTATACTTCATCTACTATTTCATCCTCAAGATGAATTACTGATTTTTTTTTTCTGTAAGAGAATTCTAGTAAAGCACCTCACCAAAGACATCTTTGCAGTTGAGGAGCAAAAAGCAAATAAGGTGATATTTTTCTGATTTAATCAGTGATGGAACATAGATGATACAGAACACTGGTGGGAAATGCTATAGGTATGTCTATTTATAACACACACATATACAAAAATAGAACTCTCCTCTTTTTATACACACACAACATTTTATAACTTTGAGCCACACTTCCTCCCTCTTGCTAATTCTCTTAATATTTCTAGCCAGCTGCAAATTCCTCTCTCTCTTTTGCTTCAATGCCTGCCAACGAGGTTCAGATGATTACCTGGCAGCAGAATGCAGCCACCTGCCCATCTTTGGCTTTGGTGAGCAGAGCGCTGTACAGCTAGGTACGCTGCACTCACCAATTAGATATGTGGCTAATCTAATTCAAGGTCAAGTTTTGTCTTATTTGAAAGTGATAACAAGCTTGCTTCTTCCTAAAAAACTCAATCTTTCAAAACTAGACTGGGCTGATATTTTTCCACTCCATTTCTAACCTTCCCATATTTCAAAGGTGAAAGAAAAATGTGGTGGAGATGCCAAGTCTTGCACATTTTTGAACATACGACTTTGCTCCCATTTCTCACACACTCAGCACAGCTTAGCCTGCTGCTGCCTTGCTGTGACCTTCACTTACTGGCAGATCAGGGCCAAGTTTCCCTCTCTTGAAGATGTACTTTCATTTCTTTAAAACATTATATGTCAAGAATTTTTCTGACTCTTTATTATCTATAAACAAAGTTATCTGAGTCAATTCTACCTCCAAATGTCATTAAAATCTACCCTTTTCTCTCCATTTTTGAAGTCTTTATCATTCTCTTTTTTATTGGAAAGCTTCTTGATTTATACTTTCTTCACTCAAGATAGCTGCCACATTGCCACAAGAGTACCTTTTCTAAAGGCCAAATCTAATCCTGGCATGGCTGGGGCACAAACTTTTCATCATGATTCAAAGGCTCCTACCCTGTCCTACCTGGCCACTGGATCCTCATACTCTGGTCCAGCTTCTCCTGCAATGTGCTCTTTGGAACTTTAGCTCACAAAATCCTAGTGATGATCGGGGGTTTTCTTGTCTAATAACTTGTTTAACTGGCTTTAATCCACAATTACCTAAGTTTCTTCACGGCAGAACTTAATAGGGTAACGTTTCTCAAACTAATTTGTCCCCAGAATCCATTTTTCATAGATCTCTCAGGACTAGGGTTCCTCAAAACACACCAAACAACCTTATTTAAATTAATAGAGTCACCTCCACAAGTCTCATTCTTCTCTCTTATCCTGCCATAGTTTTATTTCACTACACTTACTTGTTTATCTGCGATATATGGTTTGGCTCTATCCTCACCCAAATCTCATCTTGAACTGTAGCTCCCATAATTCCCACATGTCATGGGAGGGACCTGGTGGGAGATAATTGAATCATGTGGGCAGTTTCCCCCATACTGTTCGCGTGGTAGTGAGTAAGTCTCACGAGATCTGATGATGGTTTTGTAGGGGAAACCCCTTTCACTTGGATCTCATTGTCTCTCTTGTCTGCTGCTATGTAAGACGTGCCTCTCACCTTCCACCATGATTGTGAGGGCTCCTATGCCACATGGAACTGTGAGTCCATTAAACCTTTTTTTCCTTATAAAGTACCAAGTCTTGGGCATGTCTTTATCAGCAGCATGAAAACAGACTAATACAGTCTGTCTCCCCACTGGAATATCAGCTCCATGAAGGTAGAAGTCTCACTAGTTTTAGTCATCATTATATTCCCAATGTCTTGAACAGTAAATGGAATACAATCCTCACGCAATTATTATTTGTTGATGTTGAATGAATGCTGCTCCTTTTGCCTAATCTGCCTTACATCAGGCACAGGGGAAACTCCTACTCAACTTTCAAACCCAATTAAAATGTCACTTCTTATATGAAGCATTCTCTTCTGCTCCCTCTTCAACAGAAGATCTTTCCCCTCTGGCACTTTGAATATATTTTTATAAAAGCATTTAGCATACTTTATAATAGTTAATTATTAAAGCACTTATCATACTCTATTGTAGTTAGGTACCAATAAAAGGATTGTTGAGAAGCAATTTAAACTGCTACCCAAAATACTGATTTTCTTAGTGCACATTAATACCAACATTTTGGATTAAAGAATTTAAGCTCTTAGGGAACATTAACAACTAAGTAAACTTAGAAAGCAAGGAGGGAAGGAAAGAGAAGGAAGAAGAGAGGAAAGATAATGAGGGGGAAGGTAGGACAAACGAGAAGACACATGTAAAGCCTGCTTAGAGATACGGAGAAATGTATTGTCAAACCTCAGTTCCATGGTTCAGTTACTAATTATTACTGTGCTTTGAGTATTCTATTTTTTGGCCTAATATAAAAGCAAGCCAATTCAGAATCACTATGCTCTATGATCTTTATGAAAATAATGAAAGATATTTATACTGATTATATAATTACTTTAGAAGATTATGCTTATTAAAAGATGTATCATGTACTAATTTAATAATTACTTTAGATTGTTTATTAAAAGATGTATCATATCTCCTGGATATGCTATTGAAAACAGAAGCTAATGTTAAAATCTGTCACTTAAGAATTAAGAAGTAAAAATAATCATATAAATTCAGAGATAGAAACTTTAACAAGAAATACATTGCAAATTGATGGTAAACACCACCAAGAAGAATGAAATGACTTAAAGCTACCCAGTCTAAAAATCTAAACTACTTGCTTTATGAAATAAATTTACTTAACCTTCTGGGTACCTTAAGCTTACTTCTTCAAAAGAAGCTGGGATGCCTCTGGGAGTATACTCTATAAAACTGATCAAGAAATAGAACTAAGTTAGAATAGTTTTATGACTATAGGTAGTTAGGTTTGACTTTACAAAAATATCCTAAGTGACAGTATCATATGTGACTGAATAAAATTCTTCCATAGGTATCAGTAGTTTTTCATGTAATGAATACATAATAAATATAGAAAGATGTGTAACTATATGAACAGAGTATTAAATTTTAAGAAAGGATGTTTTCCATTTGAATGCAATTTTAATGAATATAAGTTTTAATTAATAGGCTTAGCTAACAATGACATATGTTACTTGACTTTCAAAGTGATTTTTCTTTGAACCACCTTGAACATTAAATCTTCAAGCAACCATTTATCTTCAGCCTATAAGAAAGGAAGGATATACACAGAAATCAAGTATTAAAGCCAAAAGTACAACCATGGCCTGGTGACACCAATTCTAATGCTCAACTTCCCATCTTTTCCTTAATGCAGTTCTGAGTTTTACCAAGAACGTTACACATCTTCAACTACAACACTAAGAAAAGCAAAGCTAAGTGCAGCAATCAAACTACCGTTCTCAAAAATCAGAAGAGATACTCCTGAAGACGAAATAGATACAAAAGCTCCCCTTAAAAGCAGTTACTTTCCATAAAGTAATAGACAGCCTGAATACTATCATCCACTGGTAAGTCCCCCTTACCTAAGAAAATCATAGGAGTTTTTAGGTAGCTCAGATTTTTAGGAACATTAAATAAAGAGTCATTGAAATTTATCTTTATCATAAAAACTTCTTGACAAAGAGTTACTTTTAAGTCTTTTAAACTGTCCCCTTTGAAAGATTTCTTCATTAAAAGGCATTTGCCAGTTTTAGATTTAATATAGTCACTAACTTCTTGAGAATTTTTGACTGTGAAAAACAGAGGTTAACCAACCTCTCAAAAAGCAATAAGAGCATACATTTTTTCATATTTCATGGCTTTAATTCACTCTTAAGTTTCTTAGAAGCACCAATTAGATTTGTTTTAAAAATCATTAATAGTTGAGTGAAAATTCTAAAACACATTTCCTTCCTCTATTAAAAAAACTAAAATGAGAAATAAAAAGACAGTTTTAAAAACATTAGTGCAGAAATACATTTGTAAATAATGTATCATTTCAATCAAAATCTTGAAAAATGAATAGCCTTATGTATACTTACTTATGGGCCAACATGTAAAAGTAAGTATTGGTTGTAATAGGTCTAACACAATTGTACAGCAGAAGCAAACATTAAAATACACTGTAGAAACAGAACCTAATCACTCGAATACTCAACATTCTCAAGTGCTCGACACTTAAAGCAGTGCTCTCAACAGAAATATGACATATCTGTAATTTTAGATTTTCTATAACCACAATTAAAACAGTAAAAATAAGCAATTATTTTCAGTAATATATTTTATTCAAAGCAATATATCTAAAATATTGTCATTTCAAAATGTAATCAATATAAAATATTACTGAGATATTTTGTAATGCTTTTTTTTGATACTATTATTACTCTGTGAAACTTGGTGTACATTTTACTATAGCCAGTGGTATACTGGAGCTAACACAAACTGGCTGTAATCCCAGCTACTTGGGAGGCTTAGGCAGGAAAATTGCTTGAACCCAGGAGGCAGAGGTTGCAGTGAGCTGAGACCGTGCCACTGCACTCCAGCCTGGGTGACAGAGTGAGACTCCATCTCAAAAAAGAAAGAAAGAAAACAAAAATGTCAACCAAGATTCATAAGGAAAAAGTAAGACATTCCCAGATAAACAAATGCTGAGGGAGTCTGTTGTTAGTAGACCTGCCCAACAAGAAATGCTAGAGTAAATCCTTCAGGCAGAAAGAAAAGATCACTACAAAGTAACTCAAAGCCATTCAAAAAGAATGAACACGAGCTAAGGTAACTATATAGGTATTAAAAATCCAGTATTATTGTGTTTTTGATTTGTAACTCTTCTTTTTTCTCAAATGATTTAAAAGACGATGCATAAAACAGTAATTATAAGTTAATGGGCACACAATGTATGAAGATGTAACTTGTGACAACAATATAAGGGGGAGGGACAGAGCTATACAGAAGTGGAGTTTTGGTATATAATAGATGCTAAGTTGATATTAAAAATTGTTATACATATAAAAGGTTACAGTCTCCAGGATAACGACTAAGCAAATAATGAGAAAAAAATACATCAAAAAAAAAAAGTGATGGGAATAAAAATGGTACTATGGTACTGTGGTCTGAATGTGTCCCCTCCAAAGTTCAGGTGCTGCAAATCTGCTAGTATTAAGAGGTGGAACCTTTAAGACATGATGAGGCCATGAGGGCTCATTCCTCATTAATAGAACTAAGGCCCTTATAAAGAAAAAAAGCAGCAGCAGCTTCAGATGGCATTTGGCTAGCTTGTTCTCTTGTCCTTCTGCAATGTGAAGATTGAACAAGAAAGTCTTCATCAGATCAGAAATAGGCTCCTCAACCTTGGACTTCTCAGCCTCTATAACTGTGAGAAATAAATTTCTTTCATTTATAAATTAGCTGGTCTGTGGTATCCTGTTACAGCAGCACAAAACAGACTAAGTACACTACCAAAAAAAAATTTAATGCAAAAGAAGGTACTAATGGAGAAACTGAGGGACAAAAAAGACATGACATCATTGAAAGCAGTGAGCAAAATGCCTGGCATGGCAGCTCCTGCCTGTAATGCTGTTGCTTTAAAGTTTGTTTCATCTGATATAAGAACAGCTACCCCTGCTTGCTTTCAGTGTCCATTTGCATGAAATGCCTTTTCCACACTTTACTTTAAGTTTATGTGAGTCTTTATGTGTTAGGTTAGTCTCCTGAAGGCAGCAGATTGTTGGTTGATGAGTTCTTATGCATTCTGCAGTTCTGTACCTTTTAAGTGGAGCATTTAGGCCATTTACATTCAATGTTAGTATTGAAATGTGAGGTACCTTTGCATTCATCATGCTCTTGGTTGCCTGCATACTTTGGTTTTTTGTTTTTGTTTTTTAACTTGTATTTTTATTTTACAGGTCCTGTGAGATTTATGCTTTAAAGATATTCTGTTTTGATGTGTTTCCTGGATTTGTTTCAAGATTTAGAGCTCCTTTTAGCAGTTCTTCTAGTGGTGGCTTAGTAATGTCGAATTCTCTCAGCATTTGTTTGTCTGAAAACGACTGTTATCTTTCCTTCATATGTGGTGCTTAGTTTCACTGGATACAAAATTCTTGGCTGATGTTTGTTTTGTTTGAGGAGGCTGTAGATAGGGCCCTAATCCCTTCTAGCTTGTAGGGTTTCTGCTGAGAAATCTGTTGTTAATCTGTTAGGTTTTCCTTTATAGGTTACCTGGTGCTTCTGTCTCACAGCTCTTAAGATTCGTTCTTTCATCTCAACTTTGGATAACCTGATGACAATGTGCCTAGGCGAAGATCTTTTTGTAATGAATTTCTTGGGTGTTCTTTGTTTTTTTTTTTTGATGGAGTCTCACTCTGTCACCCAAGTTGGAGTGTAGTGGCATGATCTTGGCTCACTGCAACCTCAGCCTCCCAGGTTCAAGTGATTCTCCTGCCTCAGCCTCCCAAGTAGCTGGGACTACCGGTGTGTGCCACCACGCCCAGCTAATTTTTTGCATTTTTAGTAGAGATGGGGTTTCACTGTGTTAGCCAGAATGGTCTCAATCTCCTGACCTCATGATCCACCTGCCTCAGCCTCCCAAAGTGCTGGGATTACAGGTGTGAGCCACCGCACCTGGCCCTGTGCTTCTTATATTTGCATGTCTAGGTCTCTAGCAAGGCTGGGGAAGTTTTCCTCAATTATTCCCCCAAATATGTTTTCCAAGCTTTTAGAATTATCTTCTTCCTCAGGAATACCAATTATTCTTAGGTTTGGTAGTTTAACATAATCTCAAACTTCTTAGGGGCTTTGTTCATATTTTCTTATTCTTTTTTCTTTGTCTTTGTTGGATTGGGTTAATTCGAACACCTTGTCTTCAAGCTCTGAATTTCTTTCTTCTACTTGTTCAATTCTATTGCTGAGACTTTCCAGAGCATTTTGCATTTCTAAAAGTGTATCCAAAGTTTCCTGAATTTTGTATTGTTTTTTCTTTTAGCTATCTATTTCATTGAATCTTTCTCTCTTCACTTCCTGTGTCACTTTTTGAATTTCCTTGCACTGGGCTTTGCCTTTCCCTGGTTCTCCCTGATTAGCTTAATAACTAACCTATCGAATTCCTTTTTCAGTTATATCAGGGATTTCTTCTTGGTTTGGATCAATTGCTGGTGAACTAGTATGATTTTTAGGGGGTGTTGATGAGCCTTGTTTTGTCATTTTACCAGGGGTGGTTTTCTGGTTCCATCACGTTTGGGTAGGCTCTGTCAGAGGGAAGGTCTAGGGCTGAATGCTGTTGTTCAGATTCTAGTGCACAGGGTGTTCCCTTGATGTAGTACTCTCCATTTTTCCTGTGGTTGTGGCTTTCTGTGAGCCGAACTGCAATGATTGTTGTCTCTCTTCTGGGTTTAACCATCCAGTGAGTCTACCTGGCACCATGCTAGTACTGGGGGTTTCTGCACAGTCCTGTGATGTGAACCATCTATGGGTCTCTCAACCATGGATACCAGCGCCTGTTCCGTTGGAGGCGGCAGAAGGTGCAATGAACTCTATGACGGTTCTTAGTTTTGGTTATTTAATGTTCTATTTTTGTGCTGGTTGGCCTCCTGCCAAGAGGTGGCGCTTTCCAGAGAGCATCAGCAGTAGCAGTGCAGAGGGATCAGCAGTGGGTGGGGCCCTAGAATTCCCAAGATTATATGTCCTTTGTCTTCTGCTACCTGGGTGGGTAGGGAAGGACTGTCAGGTGGGGGGCGGGGCTAGGCATGTCTGAGCTCAGACTCTCCTTGGGTGGGTCTTGCTGCGGCTGCTGTGGGGGACGGGGTGAGATTCCCAGGTCACTGGAGTTGTGCACCTAGGAGGATTATGGCTGCCTCTGCTGAGTCATGCAGGTTGTCAAGGAAGTGAGGGAAAGCCAGCAGTCACAGGCCTCACCCAGCTCCCATGCAAACTGAAGGGTTGATCTCACTCCCACCATGCCCCCCACAACAGCCCCAGATCTGTTTCCAGGTGGAAGGTGGGCTTGAAAACTTGCCCGAGGCTTTCACCTCCCAGAGTATTTGGGGTGTCTCCTGGGTCCTGCAGGAGCAGTCCGCTTCCTTCAGAGAGTCTGAGGGTCCTCTCAGGATTGCTGGTTTGTTCTTGCAGTCGATCTGGAGCTAAAATTCACAATTTGAGCCTCCACATGCTGCTCTGTCAGGAGTTGCAATCTAGTCCTGCCTCCCATCTGCCATGATCCCTCTTTATACACAATCTACAGATTCAGTGCAATCCGTATCAAAGTTCTAATGGCTGTTTTTGCAGAAATAAAAAAGTTGATCCTCAAATTCATATGGAATTGCAAGGAGCTCCAGATAGCCAAAATAATATTGAAAAAGAACAAAATTGGAAGATTCCATGCTTCCTGATTTCAAAACTCAATACAAGGTACAGAAATCAAAACAGTGTGGTACTGGCTGGCATAAGGACAGACATATAGACCAATACAGTAGAAATTGAGATTCCAGAAATTATCCCATACATCTATGTCCAATTGAGTTTTGACAAGGGTGCAAGACCATCAATGGGGAAATTGTCTCTTCAAGAAATAGTGTTAGAAAACTGGATATTCACAAGCAAAAGAATGAAGATAAACCCCTACATCATACCATCTACAAAAATTAATTCAAAAGGGACCAATGACCTAAATATAAAAGCTAGAGCTATAATACTTTTATACAAGGCCATAGATGTCAATATTCACAACCTTGAATTTGAATATAGATAATTATGACACTAAAAGTACAAGTAACAAAAGAAAACAAAGTTCATCAAAATTAAAATCTTTTGTCCACCGATAGACATTAAGAAGTTGTTGACAAGAAAATCTACAGAATAGGAGAACATATTTGCAAATCATGTATCTATCTGATAAGAGTCTTGTATCCAAAATATATTAAGAACTCTTAAACTCAACAAAAAGACAACCCAATTCAAAAATAGACAAAGGAATTGGATAGACATTTCTTCAAAGAAGATGTACAAATGGCCAAAAAGCATATAAAAAGATGTTCAACATCATTATTCATTAGAAAAATGCAAATCAAAACCACAATGAGATATCACTGCATACTTAAAAGGATGGTGTTATGAAATGAATTGTGTCCCTCAAATAAAGATATGTTGAAGTCCTAACTCCCACTACTTAAAAATGTGATCTTATTTGGAAATAGGGTATTTACAGAGGTAATCAAAATGAGGTCATTAAGGTAAGCCCTAATCCAATATTACTGGTGTCCTCCTAAAAAGAGGAAACTAGACAAAGAATGCACAGAGCAAAGATGGTGAGAAGACGTACAGGGAGGAAGCCATGTGAAAATAAAGATAGAGTTTGGAGTGATGCATCTACAAGTCAAAGATTGCCAACAAACCACCAGAAGCTGGGGAAAACGTGGGAACAGATTCTCCCTCACAGCTCTCAGAAGGAACTAACCTGCCAGCACCTTGACTGCTGGCTTCCAAAACTGTGAGATAAATTTTTAAAGTCACCCAGTTGGTGGAAACAACCCGGTGTCCATCAAAGGACGAATGGATAAACAAAATGTGGTACAGACATACAATGGAGTATCATTCAGCCATTCAAAAGAACAAAACACAAATGAACTTTGTAAAAATGCTATATGAAGTAAGCCAGACAGTGTATGATGCTATTTTATGAAATATTCAGAATAGGTAAATCCACAGAAATAGAAAGCAGATTATTAGTTTCTAGGGGCAGCAGGAGGTGATTGTTTAATAGGTATGAAGTTTTCTTTGGGGGTGATGAAAAGGTTTGGAACTTGATAGAAATAGTAGTTGTAAAATATTGTGAATGTACTAAATGCACTGAATTGTACATTTTAAAATAGTTATTTGTATGTTATGTGACTTTCACCTCAATAAAAAAAGCAATCAGATCTTTTGAAAATCTGTTACCATATATAATTTACATTTTCTGAATTATTCTCATCTTTATTTCACATTTGTCAGTGTTTCAACAATGCATTATACATTTTCTTAGGTTTAGGTACATAAGAATTACCATTCACTTCACAGTGATGGCTTTCCATGAAAGAAGAAACCAAAAAGAATTTCAACTGGATTTAAAATAGAAAAATACTACAGAGAATCAGAACAATGTATTGTAAGAAACTTCAGCTTCACTGTCAGGCATAGGTGTGAATTCTGGCCTTATCATATATTAGTTCTATGGTTCTGAGCAGTTTCTTGCCTTCTCCAAACCTCAGCTTTCTCATCTATAAAATAGGGATAATGTAGTGGTGGGAATCAAATGAGATACAGTTTATTTGTGTAAAGCCTCCATCACAATGCTTTGCATAAGCAGGCCAAAAATAAAACAAACTACCATGGCTTCAAATTGTTCTATTTCCAGAGACAGATCAAGCACACCCCTCATTACTACATAATAAGAAAAAAAAACTATTAAGGAGTAATAGCATTCAGAGATTACAATAAAAGACGTTAACTTCATTGTGGCATATATTACAATGAACTACCACTTTTAGATTAGTCTGTAGGCAGCAATTATTGTTTATTTATTAAGTTCTGTGAGAACTAAGGATATGCCGCAAGTGATTCAGTATAACAAAAAGACAATTTTCCTATAAACTTTATGTATTTATTGTTTGTTAATTTTTGGAGAGATGGAGTCTTGCTGTGTCTTCCAGGATGGAGTACAGTGGCACAATTATAGCTCACTGTAACAATTACTAGGCTCAAGCAAGCTTCCTGCTTCAGCCTCCCGAACAGCTAGAACTACAGGTGTGCACCACCACAACTGTTATTTTTATTACTTTTTTAAAGGCAGGGTCTACAAGGTGGTCTCCAACGCCTGGCTTCAAGCAATCCTCTCACCTCGGCCTTCCAAAGTGCTGGGATTACAGGCGTGAGCCACTGTGGCCAGCCCCAATTTTTCTATTAAAATAGGACATAGCACACCATTATAAGCCCATGAAACAAAGTACAATTTGAAAATTTCATGTGCATCTTTCCACAATAGAAAAAACTTCTGAGAAACAAACCATTTAAGGCCAATAAGAGATTTTACTGTCAATATTTTGAACACATATTCTCAATTTTTTTTTTTTTTTTTTTTTTGGAGACAGGGTCTCACTCTGTGGCCCAGGCTGGAGTGCAGTGGCATGATCATGGCTCACTCAGTCCCCATGGGCTCAAGCAATCCAGCAATCCTCCCACCTCAGCCTCCTGCATAGCTGACACTACAGGTGCATGCCTCCATGCCTGGCTAATTTTTATATTTTTTTGTAGAGACTGGGTTTTGCCAAGTTACCCAGGCTGGTCTCGAACTCCTGGGCTCAAGCAACCCATAGGTCTTGGCTTCCCAAAGTGCTGGGATTCAGGCATGAGCCACCGCGCCCAGCTCTAAAATTTCTGTATCTCAAAATATAAATATTTCTATCATAAAATTGCAGGTTTTTAAAGGAAAAGCTGAAGTGGAAAATAAAAGCTAAAAAACAAAAGTGTTTTTAGAATAATTAGAAACTTCAGACATCTAACTTAGGCAGAAACTATTGATAATAGATACGATACCCAAACTAACAAAACATTGAAAGGATTTTTTAACTCACTGCCAATTTTGAAAAGAAATTAATGAAAGTATTGAGATTAAAATGTATACACACACACACACACACACATATATATATTTGAGACAGAGTCTCGCTCTGTTGCCCAGGCTGGAGTGCAGTGGCATGATCTCTGCTCACTGCAAGCTCCACCTCCCAGGTTCACACCATTCTCCTACCTCAGCCTCCCAAGTAGCTGGGACTACAGGCGCCCGCTAGCACGCCCGGCTAATTTTTTGTATTAGTAGAGACGGGGTTTCATCGTGTCAGCCAGGATGGTCTCGATATCCTGACCTTGTGATCTGCCCGCCTCGGCCTCCCAAAGTGCTGGGATTATAGGTGTGAGCCACCACACCCAGCCAACGTACACCAATATTTTAAGGAGAAAAAGCTGAGGTTCCAATAAGAAGTGACCAATATAGATTGTATATCTATATATTATTCACTGGTCATCAGCTATGTATTCCTGAGAAATAACTTTCCAATAGTCTTAAATTTCTGAACATTTTGCAAATAGAGGCAACAACGGCCTTTACTTCAGACCATTTTTTCAAAGATGTTCATATAATACAATGGTCTCCAACCTTTTTGGAACCAGGGACCAGTATCGTAGAAGACAATTTTTCCACGGGCCAGGGTGGAAAGGTGGTTTCAGGATGAAACTGTTCCACCTCAGATCATCAGACATTATTAGTTCGATTCTCATAAGTAGCACACAACCTAGATCCCTCGCATGCACAGTTCACAATAGGGTTCGAGCTCCTATGAGAATCTAACATGGCCACTGATCTGACAGGAGGTGGGGCTCAGGCAGTAATGCTTGCTTGCCCTGGCTCACCTCCTGCTGTTCCTAACAGGCCATGGACCAGTACCATGTAACATGGCCACTGATCTGACAGGAGGTGGAGCTCAGACAGTAATGCTTGCTTGCCCTGGCTCACCTCCTGCTGTTCCTAACAGGCCATGGACAAGTACCAGTCCGTGGCCCAGGGGTTGGGGACCTCTGATATAATGAACAGCCCTGGAAGACAATGGTTCCTTCCACTGGATTAAACAGCAGACATATGGCAGGAGAATTGCTTGAACCCAGGAGGCAGAGGTTGCAGTGAGCAGAGATCGCGCCATTGCACTCCAGCCTGGGTGACAAGAGCAAAACTCTGTCTCAAAAAAAATAATTAATTAATTAAAAATAAATTAAAAGAGTAGACATACTTACTGTCCATAATAAAAGGTTCAGATTCCCTAAATTCAGGGTTTCCCTCCTCCAACACAAGCAAGCCACTGCATGTGCAGGTAGTACCTGGCCTTCATGTTGCTCTGTGGGAAGTAGGGCTCAAGGAACAAATGCAAGAAAAGGCTGACATACTGCTATTGCTGGAATTGTCATGTCTTCTGCCAGAATCCATAGAAGTGTGGCAGCTAAGTTCTTAGCTTGCAAGTAGGGTAAAATCTCAGATCCTTCACAGTTCCTAACATGGATCAGATACTATGCTAGGTACTGGGAGCTCAGAGGGATTAGGGTTAGAATTTCATACCCAAAGACCTTGCAGTCATCTAGTACTACTGCTATTACCATCTATCCATTAGGCACACGACCATTTAACTTAAACTTCATTAATAACATTATACTTTCTTTCTAACTTTTAATCAAAGTAATGTATGTAAGGAAAAAAACTGAAGTACATTATGGCTTATTATTAAAATCAACAGTTCTCATATCACATTTCTTCCCACTGCTTGGTTAGTTTCCAAGAGGCAATTACTTTAACCATTTCCATTTTTTATTACATAAGATGTTGTCTATGTCACTCTAAATTATATGTTTATACTTTAAGTTCCTGATATAAACTTAATCCACTGCATTTTTACTATGAAAACTAAATATTTTGGCTCATTATGCTACTTACCATCTACCCTTTCTTTCTCCCCCCATTAAAAAAAGAAATTAAGTGGCTCATGTCTATAATGCCAGCACTTTGGGAGGTCAAGGTGACAGGACTGCTTGAGCCATGAGTTCAAGACCAGCCTAGGCAACACAGCAAGACCTCTATCTCTACAAAAAAGTAAAAAATTAGCTGGGCATGGTGATGTGCACCTGTAACCCCAGCTACTTAGGAGACTGAGGCAAGAGGATCACTTAGGCCCAGGAGTTCAAGGTTGCAATGAGATATGATCACACTACTGCACTCCAGCCTGCGTGACAGAGCAAGACCCTGTCTATTAAAAAAAAAAAAAAAAAAAAAAGCGAAAAGAAAAAAAAGAAAAAAATTTAAGGTATAATTTCCACACAGTAAAATATATCCCCTTTTTACTCAGGGACTAAGTTTTTCCTAAAAAAGTAAAAGTTTTTAAATAAAATATATTTCCTTTTATCATAGTTCTGCAACATTTGACAAATTCACTTTTGATATTACCCTGCAATCAACACAGATCATTCCCATTACCCAAAAATATTTCCCTTGTCCTTTATAACACCTCTCCTGCTCCCAGCAATCACTCTGTACCTACAGATTTGTCATACAAATAGAATTATACACCATAGTGCTTTTGAGTCTGACTTCTTTCACTTAGTATAATGTATTTGAGAACCTTACATGTTAATGGGTGTACCAGTAATTTATTCCTTTCTATTGCCAGGTAATATTCCATTGTATGACTATACCACAATTTGTTTATCCAATCACACACTGAAGAACATCTGGGTTGTTTCTAGTTTTTGGCAATTATGAATAATGCCTACACTATAAACACTTAGGAACAGATTTTTATGTGTACTTATGCTTTTATTTCAATTCTATAAATACTAGTTACAGGTATCACTGTGTCACATAGCATGTGTAAGCTTCATTTTATAAGAAGTTGCCACACTCCTTTTCAAAGTGACTCTATGACTTGCATTTCCTCCACTATTGTATGAGACTTTCAGTCACTCTGCATCCTCACTAGCACTTAGTATTGCTTGATTTTTTTAAATTAGACCAATTCTATTTGGCATATCATGGTATTCATTGTAGTTTTAAATTTCATTTCACTAATGAGCTATATTTTTTCCTGTGCTTATATTTACCATTCACACTTTTTCTTTGGTGAACTGTCTACTCAAATGTTTTGCCCATTTAAAAAACTGTTTTCTAATTACTGAGTTTTGAGAGTTCTTTATATCTTTTGGATTCACATCTTTTATGAAATTTATGATTTGCAAATAGTTTCTTCCAGTCTGTGGCTTATCTTGTTCTCTTAAAGCTGTCTTTTGCAGAGCAAAATTTTTAATTTTGGTAAAGTCTAATTTATCACTATTTTCTTTCAGGGAACACACCAAACCCAAGCTCGTGCAGATATTCTGTTTTCTTTTGTTAAGTTTCACATTTTACAGTTACTTAGTTCTATAATCAATTTTTAAATAATTTTTATATAAGCTTGGAGGTATATGTCTAGGATTTTTGCATTTGGATATCCAATTGTTCTAGATCTACTTGTTCTAGAACTCTGGAGTTGTTCTGGAACTCCACATTACCATTTCCTTATTAAATTGCCCTGGCACCTTTGTTTAAAAATCAGTTGCCCGTATATATGTGGGTCTACTTCTGAACTCTATTCTGTCCAATTAATCTGTCTTCATCATTTCCCTAATACCACACCATCTTAATTACAATAGTTTTCAGTAAGTTTTGAAATCAGGAAATATGTGTCTCCACTTTTTCATTTTCATCAGTCTTTCATGTAAAGATCTCATGTATATTTTGGATTTCTGGTACTGCTGTATATGGTATTAGGTTGCTACAAAAGTATTTGCAGTAAAAGCCACAATTATGTTTGCAGCAAACTAATACTTTTTGAAATGTTTAATTTCCAATTGTTCACTGTAAGAAATAGAATTGATTTTTGTATATTGAGTAAGTATCCTTCCACCTACTAGTTACAGTAGCATCTTGCTAGGTTCTTTGAGATTTTTTACACTGATAATCACTTTGAGAATAGAAAAAGGTTTTCTTTCTTCTTTTCTAATCTTTTGTTTTTCTTGCTTTATTGCTCTGCTTTAAATCCTACTTTATAGGATTTCAAATTATTTACATTTGTAATGGATTTTAAAGACCTAGACTATGATCTACCTGGGTTACTATTTCATGTCTCCTGTTGCTGGGTAACATGTTCTACAGATGTTAATTAGGTAAAGTTGGTTGACAGTATTGTTCAAGGCTTCTATATCCTTCCTGACTTTCTGCCTGCTTCTTCTGTTAATTATTAAGAGGAGTGCTGAAGTCTCCAAATGTAACTGTGGATTTTTCTAGTTCTCTTTTCAGTTCTCTATTATTAATTCATGTATTTTGAAGCTATGTTGTTGGGGCATAAATATTTATAATTTTTATATCGTGTTGGTGAATTGACTGCTGTGTATTTCTCTTTTCGGGGAGGAGAGGAGAATAAATGCAGGGGTACCCATTTTCTTTGGCCATATTCTGTTGTTTAATTGCTGTTTCTTAAGCTGGATACCAAGCTCATTAATTTTCAGTGATTTTGTAACACTATTAAGGTTAATTAAAAAGGAAAATGAAATGTGATCCTGTAAGTATGCTTTATAAAAAAAATCAGCAACACCAGCTGAGTCACAATGATCTCTTTTCTGATCACCAAAATTCTGATTATTTAAAACATCTATTTCTTGGCCAGGCGTGATGGCTCACGCCTGTAATCCCAGCACTGTGGGAGGCCGAGGCAGGCGGACCACCCAAGGTCAGGAGTTTAAGACTGGCCTGGCCAACATGGTGAAACCCCATCTCTACAAAAATACAAAAATTAGCTGGACATGATGGAGGGTGCCTGTAATCCCAGCTACTTGGGATGCTGAGGTGGGAGAATCACTTGAACCCGGGAGATGGAGGTTGCAGTGAGCCGAGATTGCGCCATTGCACTCCAGCCTGGAAGACAGAGCAAGACTCTGTCTCCAAAAATTAAAAAAAAAAAAATCTATTTCCTATTGTTGAAGGTATCTTTTTCAAGTAGTTTTCTCTGAGATAAAAATAACCACATGGAGTTCTACCTTACGTACATTTTAATGATGTTTTTCTTAACTCTCATTCAATATTTTAATGTACGCTTGGAGTTTTCAAGATCTAATCTGCACTTAGGCCAACCTGCAAAATTCAACCTCATCAAAATGTTTTACATGGCATTTTCATTCATTGACTCTCTGCCCTTTAGAATACAGTCCACCAGCTGCTTCACTCTAGTGAGATCCACTCAATAAAGACATCATATAAAAGCAAGACATTATTTACAGCTTGCTGGCATGCACTATACATCTGTGTTCATCTCAGATAAAAGGTTACAATGCAGGTCTAAAGGGTAATGTGAAAATTACTAACCAGCTTCAGCTAAGTAAGGAGTATCCTTGTGGATCAAGGGCAAATGGAGAAATACAGTGGAGTCAAAAGCAAAGAGTATACAAACATGGTCATTACTATTAACTATAAACATTAATTTTCTTGAGATAATGTTAGTATATTAAGATTTTTTTTAAAGGTGATTCTTTATGACTGCTAAAAAACGCCTCTAATTTCTTCTAGATTCCCTATCACATTTGTTGGTGGTAGTTTCTAACATTTTCTATAACCAGAATATCATTCATAACCCCTTTACTCTCCAGCTGATGACCCTCCTTACTTTATTTACAAGGAAGAGTGAGACCAGTTGATACACTCCATCAACTTCCCTTTGCTGTGTCTTAACTATTTCCTCTATGTTCCCACATTGCTGAGGGGTATGACTTTCTCTGTCACCATTCTTTGGTTCAAGTACATATCGTCCTTCCTCCAATAAGTTACTTTTTCACTTGTGTCTTTGAGTTCCTATTTGCCTCTCTCTGCATACCACCATGCATACTCTAGCATCCACCTCATACCTAAATATGCCCATTCACTCTTCCAACATTTTTAAAGCACCTAACAAGTGTAACTCATTGGATTGCCATGAGACAGAAAGTTAAGTAAAAATCCAGTCCTCCTTTCGGGAAACTCACAAACTATTGGGAAAGATGAACAGGTAAACAAATAATTACAATCAAGTGTAACAAATGTTAAGAGCAAAGGCATGTACAATCCAGTCATGGTATAAAGAAAAGAGAACTTAATTCTGCTTGGTTAGAGAGATATTTTCTTTCTTTTATATCTTCATCAAGCCCACCCTCTCTGACAGTTCTTTCTTCTCCTCCTCTTTCTACAGATAGGCTCAGGTCTTAAACCCAGAAATGAACAATGATGCTTAAGCTAATACCACTATAGCATCCCCTTTACTGGCACTTTTTTTTTTTCTTGAGACAGGGTCTCACTCCATTGCCAATGCTGGAGTGCAGTGGCATGATCACGGCTCCCTGGAGGCTCAACTTCTTGGGCTCAGGTGATTCTTCTACCTCTGCCTCCTGAGTAGCTGAGGCTACAGTTGCATGCCACCACACCTGCTAATTTTTTGTAGAGACAGGTTTTTGCCATGTTGCCCAGGCTGGTCTTGAATGCCTGGGCTCAGCAATCTGCCTGCCTCAGCCTCCCTACTAAGTGCTAGCATTACAGGTACAAGCCACTGCACCTGGCCTGACACATTTTTTGGAAAGGTTATTTACTGTCTTTCATTAATTTTTTAAGCAAGTATAATCTTGCTTTTGGTTTCCACCATTTTACTGACACCTCACCAAAGTCAAAGTCAAATAATCCTCTCAGCATATCCAACCACCTTTTCTTAGTTCTCTCCATGAAAAGAAATCTCTGCTACAAGGGACTCTGTGGAACTTATTCTCTTCTCAAAATTTTCTCCTTGACTTTTGTGATACTTCACTACCCTAATGTATTTTCTCCCTCTCTCCCCATTTCTGTTCAGTCTTCATTGATCCCACCTCCTTTTAATGCTTGACAAAGAGAAGGATTAGCCAAGATTACATTTTCAAACACAGCTTTTGACACCCTACCTCTTCTCTCCCTCCAGCAAACTCATGATAATAAGCTCTAAAGTAGAGTGGAGTTCAGGGAAAAAAAAAAAATCTTAAGAGTCAGAAAGCCTGGCTTCAATTTTTGGTTCTGCCACTGACTTCCTACCTATGCACCATGGCATGTCACATCCTAGGACTCCAAAAAAGAGAATGGCTTTCTACCTATGCTACAATTCTAACTGAAAAGACCATCAGATTTCTAGTCCTAAATTATCTAATGCCCTAAATCCACATTAATACCATTTAAATGCAGACATAATATGTTAACATAGATACACTAAGAACTTGTATTGTTTTCAAAAAGGTGATCCTTTATGATTGCTTAAAAAAAAGCCACTAATTCTTTATTTCTAGATTCCTTATCAAATATGTTAGCAGCAGTTTATAACCACTAAAATTAAGTCACTCAAACCGAAACCAACTATACTTCCTTTAAGTTACCTATTAGTATTTATGTATTGGTGCCACCATTATCCTAAGCTTGAAATCTTAATACTCCTATAGTCTTTCATTTGTGCATTCTCTCTCCCTAATTCCCAACCTTCGTGCAAGGCCTAATTCAAAGGGCATCTCTTCCATAAAGGGTTCCTTGACCTCTTCAGCTGGTTATAGTCTTTCCCTCATCAGAAGACCCAAAACAGTCTATGTGTACCTCTCATGACACTTGGTTTATGTTTTTTTTTTTTCAGACACTGGTTTTGTGGGAGCAGGATTTATATCTGATTCTTCCTTGCATACTCTATGGCACCTTGAACACTGCTTTGCTCAAAGTACTAAAAAACTGTTTAAGATTTGTTATCTGAACTTTGGACACAGAAGCAGCTGTAAAGTTGTCTAGAGTAACAATTTTCTTTAAATAAAAATAACAGTTTAAAGATGTATGATGATTTAGATGTTCTAACTCTAAAATATATAATGTTCTTCTTAAGCTAAGGAAGCAGAAGCTCTTCCCCTATTCCTTCAAAATTCCAGTCAACTTGAAAGCACACTATAGAAAATAGTCTTTGCTATGTCACAATATTAATTTTTTAAAGGTAGAGTTACTACTACTAAAAAATGTACTGTTTCACATTTGGTTTTACAATCTGAGCATTTCCATTGTTCATAAGACAAAGTATTTTGACAAACTATTTGATCTACCATCAGAAGTGTAGATTAAACACAGCAATAACTGATGCCTATCAGAACATTCAGCCAGTATGTACTACATTATCATCTGCTCAGAAAATAATTTCCCAAACTGCAATATGCTGTCATTAATTTTCAGCTTCATTAATAAGCTTCCATGCATTGCTCAAAAATTTTATTTTTAAAGATGTAGTCCCCAGTTGAGATAGTAAAACAAACTGAGGTGTGGAGGAAGGTTTCCAGCTTCCTTTATGACTAGGAAAAATAAAAATGCAGCTTAGCAGACAGAAGAACTAGAATTTCCCAAGAGTCTAAACCAGATAAGTCAAGGTTTTAACTTAATTCATCTTGAAGATAAGATGTCTGGTGTGAGGCCTGACAAGTGGTACACAGCATCACTGCAAGAACATTAAATAAAACCGACAGATCTGTCTAAGGCCTCATTACTGCAGATGCAGAGAGAAGAATATGACCTACCTGGCTTATCCCTCCAGGAGAGATCTTGTATGACTGCAACTTTTGCTTCAGCAGCTCTGGATCACTGTGACGGAATGGGCACCCTGACAACAAAAAAATAAGCCAGCACACAAACAAGGTTATTTACCCACAACTTAGTACAATACCACACTCGAGAGACCATCTAAGCTCCCCTTAATTGTCTAACAGCTTATTAATAAAAAAAGGTAATTGCCCATGGGTGCAACTGCTTTCCTCTTTTCATCTAAATGATTACTTAGCTGTATGGTTATCAGGGCACTCCAGGCTCAAGAGTTACATAAAACATTGCAGCATTCTCAGGCTAAGATGTCCATTCAACAGGAAGAGGGAAAACAGCTTTAATTATGCTCCTTGCTAACAAGCACAAATAATCACAAAATAGCTATGTAATAGTTTATTTTAAAACTTTAACAATCTTCTTATATTCTAGTCTAAAAATTATATAAAAGGCATATGAGAGAAGGAAGATAGATAAACAAAATGAAAAACATGCAAACTCTGAGAAAGAAAAAAATTCAACATCATTTTCAAACGTAAATTATATGCCTATTTCCTAAAGCGTAGAATCTATGAAAATGTAAAAGAATCATGGATGGAAATGAGATGAAAAAATAAACTATTTCATAGAAAAACAATTTATGGTGGATATGTGTCATCGTTATATTATTTCATGAAAAAAATGAAAGACCACTAGAAATATTCACATAAATAAGAATACAGAAGAATTTGAAATACAAAAGCTGTTTTAGGACAAAATCTAGAAAATTTTAGATATTTTAACAAACTGCAATGGTAAGTCAAAATGCTTATTAAAAATTTAATACAGAAAAGTCTTTTTTTCAGTCATACAGATGATAGATTTGTAAGTTAATAATTGTGCATTTTTCACAAATTAGAAAATCTAGAGGAAATGACTAAGTTCCAGGAAACACACAACCTTCCGTGACTGAAGCAGGAAGAAAGTGAAAATCTGAACAGACCAATAATGAGGTCTGAAATTGAATCTGGAATAAAAAACCTATCAACCAGAAAAAGCCCTGGACCAGGTAGATTCACAGCCAAATTCTACCAGATGTACAAAGAAGAATCGGTACCAATCCTACCAAAACTATTCCAAAAAACTAAGGGGGGCGACTCCCCCCATTAACTCAATTTATGAAGCCAGCATCACCCTGATACCAAAATCTGGCCGAGACACAATGAAAAAAAGAAAACTTCTGGCCAATATCTCTGATGACCATAGAATCAAAAATCCTCAACAAAATACTAGCAAACTGAATCCAGCAGCACATCAAAAAGCGAATTCACCATGATCAAATAGGCTTTATTTCTGGGATGCAAGTCTGACTCAACATATGCAAATCAATAAAAGTGATTCACCACATAAACAGAATTAAAAACAAAAAACATATTATCTCAATAGAAAAAGCTTTCAATAAAATCCAATATCCTGGCCAAGCGTGGTGGCTCACGCCTGTAATCCCAGCACTTTGGAAGGCCGAGGCAGGCGGATCACGAGATCAGGAGATCAAGATCATCCTGGCTAACACGGTGAAACCCCATCTCGACTAAAAATACAAAAAATTAGCTGGGCATGGCGGCAGGCACCTGTAGTCCCAGCTACTCAGGAGGCTGAGGCAGGAGAACGGCATGAACCCAGGAGGCGGAGCTTGCAGTGAGCCCAGATCGCACCACTGCATTCAAGCCTGGGAAACAGAGTGAGACTCCATCTCCAAAAAAAAAAAAAAAAAATCCAATATTCCTTCATGATAAAAACCCTCAAAAAACTAGATACCAAAGGAATATACCTCAAAATAATAAGAACTATCCAAGAGAAACCCACAACCAACACCATACTGAATGGGCCAAAGCTCAAACCATTTCCCTTGAGAATGGGAACAAGACAAGGATGCCCACTCTCCCCACTCTTACTCAAAATACTACTGGGAGTCCTACCCAGAGCAATCAGGCAAAAGAAAGAAATAAAAGCCATCCAAATAGGAAAAGAAGTCAAACTATCTTTCTTTGCTGATGATATGATTCTATACCTAGAAAACCCTAAAGAATGCACCAAAAAGGCTCCTGGAATTAATCAATGACTTCAGCAAAGTTTCAGGATACAAAATTAATATATAAAAATCAGTAGCATTTCTTTTTTGAGACAGAGTCTCACTCTGTCACCTGGTGCAGTGGTGCCATCTCAGCCAACTGCAACCTCCGCCTCCTGAATAGCTGGAATTACAGGTGCACACCACCACGCCTGGCTAATTTTTGTTTTGCTTTTTAATTTTAGTAGAAATGAGGTTTCACCATGTTGGCCAGGCTGGTCTTGAACTCCTGACCTCAAGTGATCTACCCGTGTTGGCCTCCCAAAGTGCTGGGATTACAGGCATGATCCACCACGACCAGCCTTAAAAATCAGTAGCATTTCTACATACCAACAATGTTCAAGCTGAGAGCCAAATCAAAAACACAATTCTGTTTACAGTAGCCACCAAAAAATAAATAAATAAAATATTTAGGAATACATCTAAGCAAGGAAGTGAAAGGTCTCTACAAGAAGAACTACAAAACGCTGCTGAAAGAAATCAGAGACAACACAAACAGAAAAACATTCCATGCTCATGGATTGGAAGAATCAATATCATTAAAATGGCCATACCACCCTAAGTAATGTACAGATTCAATGCTATTTCTATCAAACTACCAATGTCATTTTTCACAGAATAAGAAAACAACTATTCTAAAATTCATATGGAACTAAAAAAGAGCCTAAATGACCAAAGCAATCCTAAGCAAAAGGAACAAAGCCAGAGGCATCACTCTACCTAACTCCAAACTATACTATAAGGCCATTGTAACCAAAACAGTATGGTACTGGTACAAAAACCGACACATAGACTAATGAAACAGAATAGAGAATCAGAAATAAGACAGCATACCTACAACTATCTGACCTTCAACAAAGTCAATAAAAATAGGCAATGGAGAAAGGACTCCCTATTCAATAAATGTGTTGGAATAACCAGCTAGCAGAGACATGAAAATTCTAAGAACAAAAAAGAAATGCTAGTGATCAAAAACACTGTAACAGAAATGAAGAATGTCTTCAATAGGTTCATCAGTAGACTGGACATGACTGGGGAAAATCCTTGGATCTTGTGGATGTGACAGATAGAAACTTCTGAAACTAAAAAGCAAAGAGAAAAAAGACAAAAACAAAACAAAACAAAATACAATACCTAAGAACTATGGGACAACTATAAAAGGTATAACGTGTGTGTAAATGAAATCCCAAAAGGTGAAAAAAGAGAGAAAAGAACAGAAGCACAGATGGGGAGAAAACATTTGCAAAAGACAAATCTGATAAAGTACTGTTATGCAAAATACACAATGAACTCTTGTAAACTATGGGCTTTGGATGATAAGGATTTGTCAATGTAGGTTCATCAATTGTAACACATGTACCAGTGTGGTGTGGGATACTGACAGCAACGGAGGTTGTGCGTATGTTGGGGCATGGAGGTATACGGGAACTCTGAACTTCCCACACGATTTTGCTGTGAACCTAAAACAGCTCTAAAAAATTAAGTTTATTACTTTTTAAAAACGGAGTAAGTAAATGTCCAACAAATAATGAGTTCATTGAGTGCTAAGTATAATATTTCTTGACTGACAGAGTTGAACTTAGAAACAAAATAATAACATAAAGCACTGGGATAACAAGATACAACTTAACAGAAATAAAGTTTTGCATTTAAGCTAAAGAAAACCAACTAATTAAGAGACAAATGCTAGAACCTGGAAATTTGCAGACAAATCCCTGGGAGTTTTACTTGGCCACAAGCTTAATCATAAGTTGACTGCCTGGTATGGCTGCTAAGCTAAAAAAGGCTTCAGGCTTCCTCAACAGAAGTACCTGGACCCATGGTTTTCAAACTTTAGAAGACATAAAACTCACCCAGTGTACTTGCAAATAAAGTCTGATTTTATATGACTGAGGGTGCACCCTGAGAATCTGCATTTCTAAAAAAGTACCTCAAGGGACTCTGAAATAAGTGATAAAAACCACTCAATATCTATTACCAGGCTGGTTGTGGTGGCTCAGGCCTGTAATCCTAGCACTTTGGGAGGCCAAGGCGGGCAGATCACCTGAGGCCCACCAGCCTGGCCAACTAGGCGAAACCTCGTCTCTACTAAAAATACAAAAAATTAGCCAGGCTGGGTGGCAGGTGCCTGTAATCCTAGCTACACAGGAGGCTGAGGCAGGAGAATTGCTTGAACCCAGGAGGTGGAGACTGCAGTGAGCCGAGATTGCACCATTGCACTCCAGCCTGGGCAACAAGAACGAAACTCTGTCTCAAAAAAAAAAAAAATCTATGTCTATATATAGATCTATCTTATCTGCCTATCTATATAACTAGTGCTGGCCACTTCTTCATCTATTAACTAATGAATATATAGGCATTTTTTAATGATTTGGTCACATAGAATGTCTTTCTAAAAATATTGTTTATGATTATTTGATCTTTAGCAGTCCAAAAGTGTGCAGTCTTTTAAAAAGTGTTTAAGATTCTAAAACAAAAATAAGTTTTGACACATACTGTAGTAAGCTTTGATAATCCAGAAAATTTACTGATATAAACTATTAATTCATTCTTGGACATACCAGACAAATGAGATGTTTTGTTTTTCTTTATAAATAACTCAGGCAAACTGATAGTTATGGCAGATATCACGACATGTTAAATTGCCCACTTAATCTTTGTTGGTTAATCAGATGATGGTGATAAGAAAAAAACCTCACACTTTTCCTTAGTAGTTAGCCTTTGGAAAATTAATGAATCTACTATTCCAAACTTAGAATATTCTAATTTCAAAAAGCTTTGTAAAACTTACATCGCCCTCTAAGACACTCGCAGAACACTGCAGAAGATGAGGGAGACAGAGAACAGCGGGAAGGAAGAAAGTGAGAACTGAAAAGCCTAATCCAGCACAAACTGAAGTGCAGCTGAATGAATTTCTCTTGCCTGACCTAGTTCAGTAATAAGACAAATTGTTCTAAGAGTAATGGAGCTCTAGCTTGACAGTGACGACTGACATAAGCTACAAACTAGGTCCTGACAGGAATGCAAAAAGCCGCAGCATTGTTTCAGTGTTTCCAACAGAGCTCTTGGATTTCTGTACTTGGCCAACATATCCAGTGGAGGCACTTACCATGATAATCCCCTTGGCTTGGTGGATTGGATAGAATAATCTTCAGGCAACTGAAAGGTGTATAGTCTGTCCTCTTGCCTTCCTTTCCAAAGCTGTGACAGATGTTGTAAGAGCAACCTTTACCAAACTGATTGGGAGGAAATGGAAAAAGAGACAAAGTCAGCCAATAATTATACTAGTGAGGTCAGCAACACAAGCTAGAATCAAAGAGTGCAAAGCAATATTTTCTAGAATAAATTCAGCATTCACAGGCAGATGTACATTCATGCCATGTATATTATTTAGGTCCTTTATGATACAAATAATTTCTTTTTTAAAAAAAGGTACAAAACTTATAGAAAACAAATTTATCAGGTAGAAGACAGCTAATGTTACCTATACGTTTAAAGATAAAGTAAATCTTTTCCTGAGAAGAATAATCAATTTGCCCTTCTTCGTTTGATTCCAAAGATTATAGAAGAAAATCAGTTTAGCCTCTTTTCTATCCACCTTCCCCTAATTCTCCCTGAATTCCTGTATCTAACCCATTCTACTTCCTAAATGCCTATAAAATAGTTAATCCTAGGCCAGGTGCAGTGGCTCATGCCTGTAATCCCAGCACTTCAGGAGGCTTAGACGAGAGGATCGCTTGAGCCCAGGAGTTCAAGACCAGCCTGGGCAACACAGTGAGACCCATCTCTACAAAAAAATTAAATATTAGCTGGGTGTGGTGGCATGCACCTGTCGTCTCAGCTACTCAGGAGCCTGAGGTAGAATTATCACTTGGGCTGGGGGGTTGAGGCTGCAGTGAGCCATGATTGTGCCACTGTACTTCAGCCTGGGCAACATAGTGAGACCCGGTCTCAAAATATAATAACAATAATAATAATAACAATCCCTTCCTCTGGATTTCCACTATACAAAGTAGTCAGCAAATGCTTAATGAATGAAGTACTACAACTGCCTCCTACCCAGAATCCTTGCCTCCATGTTCATAAAACAAGCTAATGGGACAGAAGGGACTTTGAACTGGGTCAGACAGGAGAACAAAAGGAACCAGCATATAATGAAAAGTGACCAGGTGCCAGGCATTTTGTAGGAGCTTTTAAAAGTGTAATCCCATTTAATCATTTAGATAATCACAACTCCTCTATGATGCTACACTTGAGAAAACTGAAGTTCAAAGTATGAAGCAATGTGATGCATGACAGTTATTAAATGGTAGACATGTACAGACAAGTCTGATTCCAAAACCCAACTCTACAAAAAAATGAAATATTAGCTGTGTGTGGTGGCATGCACCTGTCGTCTCAGCTACTCAGGAGCCTGAGGCAGTGAGCTATGATCGTGGCATTGCAGTCAGGGCAACAGAGCAATATTCTGACTCTAAGAAAAATTAAGAATTAAATTTAAAAAGTCACTAACCATCATGCATTGGAAAACATTTAATGGAAGCAGAATAATGGGTTGATAGCTTCCTAATGCTATAGTAGACCAAGGAGTACTTCACACTTTTTTCTTCATGCATGCTGGTACTGAGGTGGGTGCAAAGATCCAATAGACAGATCTTACCTCAAGGAGTTTATGGTCCTGGAGGAACTAATCAACTATGTGAATGCGTGATTAATAGAAAATAACATGATAATGTGTCATAAAAGAAGTAAAGTGCTATAAAAATCAAATATGTTATGAAGATAAATCTTCTAGAGAGGTCTAGGTATAAGTATAGGTAAAATGCTATTGAAATATGTAGGAAGAAGAGATTTTGGACCACAAAATGAAGTATCATTTAAAACGGAGTCTGAAAGAGAGAAGTTATGTCCTAAAAAGATTTAACTGGAAGTTATTACTTTTAAATATTTTGTTATTTCTTATTACTAAGGAAGTGTGGTATTACAGAAAGAGTGTGGGCTATATTCAATTCACTTCTGACACTAACTAGAGCTCATGCAGATCTCTCATGGATTAAGAGCTCAGTCTCACAAGACTGTGCCCTACTTCATATACCAATTGCAAGCAGTAGGTTCCCAAGTCACCACAACTTCTGACCAGTTTGGCCACAAGTGGGAGGTTACCAGAACCCCCTTCTCAGGTTCAGTAATGTGCTAGAGCAGCTCATAGAACTCCTGGGCTCAAGTGATCTTCCCACCTCAGCCTCCTGGGTGACTAGGACTACAGGTGTGTGTCACCAGACAAGGTCTTGCTATGTTGCCCAGGCTGGTCTCAAACTCCTGGGCTCAAGCAATCCTCCCACCTTGGCCTACTAAAGCCCTGGGATTGCAGATGTGAGCCACTATGTCGGGCCCTTGGTTGATGATTTTCTAATTCCACTACTAGGTGACACTCATCTGGCATAACAACCCATACCCCATTGGTCAACCAAAAGCAGACAATGTACCTTTGACAAGATATCTGGCAAGAGCAAATATTCAATACTGGTGGAATCTTGGACAAAAATCTAATTTTCCTGGGAAAGAGGTAGGGGTTAGGGTGGGTGTCCCATGTTAAGTGGTCATTTGGGCAAAAACTACAAACCTAAAACCAAGTTTCTAAAATGAATTTTAGAGTACGGCAAATGACTGATTTAGTCAAAAATTTATCTTCTACTCTGAAAAAAATACATGTTTGTTTAAAAGACAAACCTTGCCACTTTTATACTGGAGCACAATCTTAAACTACCACTCAGTGATCTCTCAAGGCTGGCACAAACAGAATTATCAGAAGCTGTGAGTGGCTGTGGAGCACATCAAATGTTCCTACATGGTACATTAAGCAACACTTGTTAAATAGTGAGAAGCCAGATTGCCCAAATAACAAGTCATTTTCAAAGGGCAAAATCTTCAAGGTTCTCACTCTAATAATTAGAGTGAAATGGCTATAAAGAGCTTATAGTTTTTACTGCTATGATTCTTTAACTTATAAAATGGATACTGTAGAAAGCTTAGAGAATGATTACTTGGCAATTTTTCATACATGAAATTAAAGTATCATGTAGATAGAAATAAAAATAAAACAGATTATTTTGAGTTTATAAATAATTATACATATTGGCAATGAACTGAAACTTAAATACAAAAGGTGGGCAGGCCATATTTTGGAAAACAGGTAAATCCCCCCTCTTTTAAGTGACTGCAAGACACTTCAGAGTTGCCTTGGCTTGCTTTCTCTGGGCTCATACTAAGAGCAACACACACAGAGTAGGCATTTTAAAGATCCCAGGCTTGGGAGGCAAAGAAACCTGGGAAAGAATCCCCAGCTTGTCCACTTATAAAGGGTATTACTTCAATCCTCAATTTTCCTAATCTATAGGGACAGTAATATTAATGCATTAAATTGCTATGGAGATTATATTAAATTAAATTAAAACATTAAGCAGAGTACCTGTCACATCCTTTGTTCTCAATAAATATTAGCTGCTATTGGTGAGGGAAAAACCGGAAAATATTTGGTGTCCTAGTTTAAACACTGACTATGCTACTGCAAAAGACTTCTATTTCAGTAGATACTAACAGAACCTTTACCTAAAGGTTTAGGGAGAATAAAAGACTCACTAAACTATTCAATTACACTTCTAGTCATCTTCTTAAAATGTCCCCCTTCTTCCAACTCCTATCCACAACTCTAACTATTCATACAAACTGGCTCAAATGTCACTTCCTCTGTGGAATCTTCCCAAGCACCCAAGGCAGAAGACATTGCTTCCTCAAAAGAATGCACAGCAGCAGTTTGTACAGTGCTGTACCTTTCTTGTTGCAATGGAATTTAGTTTTGTATTTATCACTTCTAAACTAGGAATGTTGTTAAGGGCAGGGACTTGGTTGCGTACTCATCGTAGCATGCCTACTCAGTATCTGATAAAACATCTACTCATAGGAGGTGCTCAATAACCTTCACTTGAATGAAAGAGCAAATAAGCAGTAGCTGTCTGGAAAGATGAATGTATAAATATGCTTCAAGGGATTTTAACTTATCAGGATTAAATAACTTCAAAAACTTGCCAAATCATTGCAAGTTTACACGGCTGTGCTATTTTGTTCTTCTGGATAGCTTTTCTTCTTCACTGTAACAACAACAACAAAGACTGAAAAAGAGTTTAAATGATGCCCTATATAGAGTATAGTGGATACATTAAAAGATAATAAAAGTAATAAATTTTATTTTCTTTCAAAAATTGCCTCAGTATAGTGGGACTGGGCTGTCCAATACTTTAAGAGAATAAGAAAGAGAGTCAGAATAAGAGATAGGAAAATACCTTGCTATTTTTTGTGTGAGATTTTTTAATTTGAGGTTATAATTTAAATATAGTGAAATGCAGATATCTTAAGTCTATAGTTTGATCAGTTTGGGTAAGTGACTATACCTATATAACCCACACCCCTACCAGAAGATAGAACATTTCTATCAACCTGTAGAATTCCCTCTTGCTTCTTCTCAGTCAACATTCCCCTCCCTCCACAACCAGAAGCAACTACTGATCCGATTTTTGTTACCACAGATTAGTTTTAACTATTCTATAACTTTATATCAATGGAATCATACGGTATAAAGTATTTTGTGTCTGGCTTCTTTCATGTCCTTTAATGCTTCTGAGATTTATCCTTGCCATTACATGTATCAGCAATTTGTTCTTTTTTATTGCCGAGCAGTGTTCTACTGTATGGATATACCAGATTGCTTGTCTAGGCTCTTGCTGATGGGCACCTGGATGTGATATTGTGATACAATAAGAAATGTGTATTTGATCCCTGACCCTGGTTCCTCGCAGAGAGTTCCCAAAACTCTTGTAATTTCCTGAGCAAGAGGGATGCTAGGTGCATCTTTTGTTCTAATATTTGGTCTGTGGCGCCAGTTTCTAACAGAGTTGCTAATCCCTTGGAACTTCCTGGGCATTGATAAGAGTGTCTTTTGTTCTAATGAGGTGACTCTTGGTGGGCTCCTGGATGGGGGCTGGTCACCAGAAAGACCAAGCCATAATTAGAAGCCTGGAACTTTCAGACACACTATGCCATCGTCCAGGAAAAGGAGGGGGCTGAAAAATGAGTTAATAAATGCTCAGCCTGTATGATGAAGCCTCCATAAAAATCCCTAAACTACAGGGTTTAGAAAGCATCTGGGATGCTGAAGACATGGAGATGATAGGAGGGTGGAACACCCAGAGAGGGCATGGAAGGTCCATGCCGCTTCCTACATATCTTACCCAGAGTACTTCTTTGTCTGTTCACCTGTATCCCTTAAAACAATCCTTTATAATAAACTGATAAATATAAGTGTTTCCCTGAGTTCTATGAGCTGCTCTAGCACATTACTGAACCTGAGAAGGGGGTTGTGGTAACCTCCCACTTGTGACCAAACTGGTCAGAAGTTGTGGTGACCTGGGAACCTACTGCTTGCAATTGGTATATGAAGTAGGGCACAGTCTTGTGAGACTGAGCTCTTAATCCATGAGAGATCTGCATGAGCTCTAGTTAGTGTCAGAAGTGAATTGAATATAGGCTATCCGGCTAGCATCAGAGAATTGGTCAGTGTGAGAAAAATCCACACATCTGGTCACTATACCCTTTGTGTTAAGAGTACAGTAGGAGAAAATTGGTTTTTTCCTACCATACACACTGGGCTTTTACAGTTTTTGGTTATTCTCAATCAAGTGGCCATGAACATTCTTACATATGACTTTTGTAGGTATATATTTTCATTTCTCTGGGATAAGTACATAGAAGTGGAATTGCTGCCAAACATTTTCCAGAGTAGTTGTACTATTTTATACCCCCACCAGCAATCACTGACAGTTCTACATTCTCCCCAACATTTGGTATGATCAATCTTGCTAATTTTAGCCATTCTGGTGGGTAGCCAGTGGCATCTCACTTTGCATTTCCCTGATGACTAATGATCATGAGCACTTTTTCATGTGCTTTTTGACCAGTGATATTCCTTATTTTATGAAATGTCTGTTCAAATCTTTTGCCCATTTAAAAATGTTGATTGCCTTCTTTTAATAATTGAATAATTCTTTATATATTCTGGACACAAGCCTTTTGTCAAATATAATTGTAACAAAGGCTTATCTACTTGACGTTATCTTCTGATGAGCAGGTGTTTTTATTTTTGATGAAGTCCAATTTATCAACTTTTTAATGGTAGTGCTCTCTGTGTCCTAAGATAAATTGCAAAGATATTTTTATGTTGTCCTTTAGAAATTGTAATGTTTTAGCTTTTAAGTCTAGGTCCTGATTCATCTCAAGTTAATTTTTGTCTGTGGTGTAAGGTAGGAATCAAAGTCCTTTTTATTCTGCATGTGGAAAAACACCTTTCCGAACACCATATGTTGAAGACACTTTCTTTTTCCCATTAAATCACGTCAGCATCCTCATCAAATTTGACCACATATGTGTAGTTCTATTTTTGGAACTGGATCTGACTGGATCAGATCCAACTGGATCCCATTGATCTATATATCTGTCCTTTTGCCAATAACACAGTCTTGATTACAATAGCTTTAGAGTAACTTTCAAAGGTAAGTGAGTCCTACTTTGTTCATTTTCAAGATTATTTTGGCTATTCTACGTCCTTGCATTTCCATATAAATTTTAGAATTGGCTTGCCGATTTCTTTTAAAAAGAGAATGCTGAAATTTTTAACAATCGGTAGTTTATGTCTTCACAACTGCTATCTGTCCACAAGTAACCAATAACCAGAAAAACAAATAGCATTTCAAAGAAAAGAAAACTTTCAAGAAAGAAGAAAGACTTTCAAGCCATCATTAATTTAACTGGTGAAAACAAGGACATTAAAATTTCCACCAAACACTTTATAAACAACTTCTGTTTGTTTCTTTAGTCATAAACATGAACTATAATCTTTTTTGTGAAAACTTTTAGGTAGGAATTGAATTTAATTAGATACAAGATTTCAGTTATGTTCATCACAAAATAGGGAAAGAACATTTTGGTAAGCTATTCTGTTAAAATAATAGAAAGCTAATCTCTCTAAAAGAGAAAAGCTAGAAGTATTAACTTCCCTCTTCTTTCCAATTCATGTACTGCCTTTGTATACATGTCTAAAATTTGGACTCTTCCAAGCCTACTGGAAACAAGAAAAAAATAAAAATAAATGAAACTTGGATCTTACTAAGCTTTCAAACTATCCATGTATTTACCAAACAAATTGTCATCTCTGGTTTTCAAATTTACAAATTCAAGAAATATTGTACAGAGACTGTATTTACTTGGAGATATTTTTTAGCAAATACTTTATAGGTCTTCATATCCACAACTCAAAGGAAAACCTCTAAGCATTGGGTATGAAAAGAGGTAGGAAGGCCGGGCATGGTGGCTCACACCAGTACTTTGGGAGGCCGAGGCGGGTGGATCACTTGAGGTCAGGAGTTCGAGACCAGCCTGGCCAACATGGTAAAACCCCATCTCTAATAATAATACAAAAATTAGCTGGGTGTGGTGGTGCATGCCTGTAATCCCAGCTACTCAGGAGGCTAAGGCAGGAGAATCACTTGAACCCGGGAGGCAGAGGTTGCAGTGAGCCAAGATTGCACCACTGCACTCCAGCCTGGGTGACAAAAGCGAAACTCCATCTCAAAAAAAAAAAAGAAGTAGGAAGAAATAAATAGAAAACATATGTTTCTGTCTAGGCTCTTCCCTCCCACTCCATTCATTCAGTGTGGGGAAAGGCCAGAAAGTCAAGACAGGTCTGAAGGTGGGTACGTGGCAGTTTGCAACCTTCAAAATTAGTCCAGACATCCCAGCTGTGGCACTGGCAATACACCAATATGCATTCCTATCAAAGACAGCAGTAAGTTACTTTCAGAGGCATTGTGTTAAATGATGAACTCAAGAAAAACTGTAAAGCAGGCACACCTTTATCTAGTTCCAACTCTGTTCTCAGAGCCTCTTTCGCAACTTTGTCTTCTATCCCAAGCCCACCCAGGGTCTAGTGACCTTATTATATTTTTTAAAGTATTTATGCCCAAATCTATTCAAACACTATGGTATAAACATCTCTTTGCTGACATGGACAGTGCATTGCATGGTCTTCCTTAGAATAAAGTCTTTTCTACAAGGAAAAAAACACAGACTAAATATTACTCCTATTTTTTTTTTTTTTTTTTTTGAGACAGAGTCTTACTCTGTCACCCAAGCTGGAGTGCAGTGGTGTGATCTTGGTTCACTGAGACCTCCACCTCCCAGGTTCAAGCCATTCTCCTGCCTCAGCCTCCTGAGTAGCTGGGATTACAAGTGCCCTCCACCACGCCCAGCTAATTTTCGTATTTTTAGTAAAGACCATGTTGCATGTTGGCCAGGCTTGTCTCGAACTCTTAACCTCAGGTGATCCACCCACCTCAGCCTCCCAAAGTGCTGAGATTACAGGCGTGAGCCATCACGCCTGGCCTACTACTCCTATTTTCAAAGCAACAAAAACTTCACTATACAAGGTCGGCTTGAACAATAAAGTGAGAATGGTTAAAAAGTATCCTTTAGAGAGAGATTTGTATTCAAAAAGGAACATCTTCTTGACCTAAATGAGGCAAAAGAGCCATGTATATGTTCACAGAAATCAGCATAAGGATATGGCATTTAAAAATTTTTAATTTTTAAATTTATTACACATGCAGGTTTGTTATACCATTATATTGTGTGAAGCTGTTAGGGCTTTTAATGATCCCATCACCCAAGTAGTGAACAAAGTACCCAATAAGTAGTTTTTCAACCCTTCTTCTTTTCCCTCTCTCCTGGCTCTAGGTCCTCAGTGTCTATTTTTCCCATATTTATGTCCATGCGTACCCAGTGTTTAGCTCCTACTTATAAGTGAGAACATGCAGTATTTGATTTTCTGTTCCTGTGTTAATTCACTTAGGTTAACGACCTCCAGCTGCATCCATGCTGCTGCAAAGGACATGATTTTGTTCTTTTTATGGCTGTGTAGTATTCCTTCGTGTATATGTACCATATTTTCTTTATCTAATTCACCTTTGATGGGTACCTGGGTTGATTTCATATCTTTGCTATTGTGAATAGTGCTGTGATAAACATAAAAGTGCAGGTGTCTTTTTGGTAGAACAATTTATTTTCCTTTGAGTATATACCTAGTAATGGGATTCCTGGGTGGAATGGTAATTCTATTTTAGTTTGAGAAATCTCCAAACTGGGGATTTCCTCAGGGGCTGAACTGATTTGCATTCTCGCCAGCAGTGTGTAAGGATTCCCTTTTCTCCACAATCTCGCCATCATCCATTAATTTTTGGCTTTTTAATAACAGCCAGATACAACATTTCTTCAGGAGGACATTTTAACCTTCTTTTTAGTGGCAGGTGTTTCTTACCTTCAAGAACTTGGAACTCTAATTTCCATATTAAAAGAAACAAAGTGAGAGTCTGCTAAACTACAAAGTGACCTCATTATTACTCACCAGTGCCCAGAATTTAGGATACCAAAATCATTAGAAGCAGGTCCTATGAAGATTAGTTATCATAAGTACTAACAGAAACTCAAGCTCAGCATCAGGGTCACACATATAAGTGAACCTATCAGGAGGAAAAGGGCATGAAACCATCTTATGGCCTTTTCTTAGCACACATTCTTGTGATAATTTTTTGACCTATTGATTATGTTGTCTTGAGTCACTACCTTAAAGTCTAATGTATAATTTTAATAACCAGAGTGATGTTATAGGCATTTAATATATGGTGCCCCCTTTTAAATTCTTATGTAACTAAATTACTCAATTACTATCTATTAAACTAAATTTGTAATCAGTCACCTATAGATCCAAATACTTCCCTTTAACTCTTAACTTCAAACACAGTTTAACTCTTAGAGATCATTGAAACATCACACATATTCTAACCAAACAACACACCAAAGGAGATGTGGAGGCCCCAAGGAGTCCAGGAGGCAGTAAATACTAATGGTTGAAGTCAGATACTCAAGTTTAAATATTGTCTCTAATACATGCTAGCTGTGTGACCTTGGACAGTTTACTTAACTTCTTTGCAACAATTCTCTTTTATGTAAAAAAGGAGTTATATCTATCACATAGGGTTGACTTGGGGATTAAGTTAGCTCATTTTCATAAAGTACTTGGTATAGCGTCCTGCACACAGTGATAAAATGCTCTCCTTGACCAAACTTTAGTCAGGCTCTTCTGAACCTCATCTCAACTAGGCCTAGAGCTTTGGATTTCTGTGTTCCTCTTTACATCACCCAGTTGTAACAGGAATCTTACAAGGTCAGTTGAGAAAGAACTCCCCAGATATTGAAATCACCCTCAATATCTGATCAAATTCCTCACTGCCACCCTTGGTATCTTATCACCCTGGCCAACCTGCAGCAAGGATCCTGTTAGTTCTGTTTAACCAGAATCGCCTTACCTGTGATGTTTCTTTCCTCTTAGTAATTTTTCATCCACTGACCCCCATCCCTGCTCTCTTGACCATGCTATTTGGAATTAGGAATCCCCACTTGTGCATGCTCTCTATATGGAATTAAGCCCAGTTCTATACTGGAATCCCTTCTTCTATTGCAGCTTTTCCTGAATAAAATCTGTTTTTACCATTTTAACTACTATCTCTTATTTTTCTTTAACAGTTTTTCGTCCATGATTCAGATCTGGATCTGAACCACCATTAGACTCTTGGACACAATAACCAATCTCTAAGCATACACCAAGACTTTGTCTTCAGTCTGCTTGCTTTTTGGGTATCTGGTGGTGAGTGACTCCAATATCCAGTGCTCCAGATAAATGTCCATCGAATCACAGTGAGGAAAGATTTTGATTAAGATTCTGATTACATTGTCTGAAGCTGGATTAGAGGCCCAGACTTCTTTGTTTGAAAGGCATCTACTCAGCTAGACGTCTTTCTTTCTGGGGCTCACTGCGTCAAGAAGACATTTACTCCCTGACTCCTGAGCCTGGCTCTTGGCTGGAAAATTCTTCCTGGATCTTTGTCTCCTGGGATGAAGACTTTTCCTGGCTCTTTGTTTCCAGTGGGGATCCACTCCCCAGTGCCTGGGCTGGAATTTTTTCCCTGCTCTTTATAAGGCCTCTCTCTTCTGTCTGTTTAATCCTGCTTCTCCCATGGGAACTTCTCAATTGAAACCTCACTTTATCAAACTCCTGCTTTGCCACTATAGTTCTAATACTGTCTGCTTGCTTTCTCACTGGCAAAGCCTTACCAAAAACTCTCTTCAGCTATGGTGGGGGCTCCTCGTATATCCCTAAATTAGTCCATCTAAAAACAGCCCTAGAGCAAAAAGGAACAAAGCTTTTGGATGCACAGCGGTCTGCTTATTTCACTTGGTATTAAGAAGCCAAAAAACAGCTAAATAATTCAAATCTCAGTCAAACTACTGAGGCTCTTTCGCACTGTCTGTAGAAAAATTTTTCTGACTCAGTAAAGTTCCTAGAGCTCTCAACAGCACCTCCATATTCCCCTCCCAGCTTTCCTTTATAGCCTCCTCTCCCAAACTCTCTTCCACCATCTGCCCCCTCCTCCAGTCCCTCACCTCCCTGTAACCAAAAGGTTCACTGGCCTCCATCTCCTTCAGATGAAGCCCAGGATCAGCCAGTACCTGTTCCCAAGTGAGGCTAATAGAAGAGAGAACATTTAAACCTTGGTCTAGGTCTGAATTGCATCCTATCACCAAATACTTTCCTGACCACAGAAAGGAAAGGGAAAGGTTTGTTGAACAATTTAGAATCATTCTAGGTGCATACTTTCTGGGATTCCGTGATTTAAATCAACTTATCTGCCTGTTGGTTGGGCCTGGAAATGCCTCCCTTTGCTTTGAAAAAGCTAAATGGACCACTATTTCTGATGAACCTCAGTTCCTTCCTTGGGTGCACAAGGGTCTCAGGCTACCCCTGATACCCCGAGGGAAGTAAGAAATTACTAGGAGCCATCCATCAAATCTCTCCCATTAAAATTGATTGGTCACATATCTAACATTGTAAATAACAAACTGATGAAACTGTGGCTATCACCATCAATTAAAGACAACATGGAAAGAGAATTCAGGGGTGGAACTGACTTTCCAAACAGCCTCTGCTCAGGCCATGCAATCTTTGTAAATAGTTTCAGGCCAGACCTCCATGACACATTACAGAAAAATAATATTAATTAACAAAATGTATACACGTCTAGGCTCCAGACATTAGCCCAATAATATGAAAATAGTATTTCAAAAACATTGGAAAATATACAATGTAAGCTTGTGGCACTGCAGTTAAAACAACTGGAAAAACCTGAAATTTTTAACTCACAGCAAGCTCCACAATGGAAGGCTCCCATTGATCTCAACAATGTGCTGATATCGTGAGGAAAAAAGACACTGGGCCTGGAATTGCCCAATGCTCAAGAGGAGGGAAAAACCCAAGTCCCCCTCCTCACCAGAGAACTGTCTATTTTCCTCCAGAGAAGCAAATGTCCCAATGCCCTCAACTACTACTAAACTTGCATGAAGAAATAATGCTACAAGTTAAAGGGCCTCCACGTCTCTCATCGATACCAGGACAACACATTCTACCCTCAACGTGACCTCACTTCCTGCCCCCTTCCCCACAGTCACCAAACTTTACCAGTGGTGGGTTTTGATGCTTTGCCCCCAGCTCATCCTCATATCTCTAAGGGACCTCTTAAAGGTCAACATAATTTTCTACTCAGCTCCACTACCCCAGTAAACTTGTGTGGAAAGTATCTTCTCATGAATGGAGGTACAAAAATTCCTGCTGGACTGCTTCTACCCACCCCTGAGTCTTCCTCTTCATGTCTATGTCCCCTAATGGTTTTGTCTGACTTCCCCTAAGCAGAGAGTTCCTTTGCCCACTTCAACCTATCTACTTAAATAAAGATTTAAGCAAACTATTAAAATTATCTAAGGTATATGCGATACAGAACCCATATAAGGTAGAAACAGATCCTTCCAAGCCTCTCCCCAGGATTCCCCAATATCGTTTAAAACCACAAGGACTAGAAGTTGCTCTCCCTGATAATGAGAGGCTTATTAGACATAAGACCCCACTTCTAATCCATGCATTACTCCCATTTGGCTATTAAAAAGTCAAGTGAGAAAGGATATCAGTTCCTTCCTGGGATCTATCAATTACACTGTCAAATCAAGATTTCCCTTGGTGCCTAATCCTAACACTATCTGTCTGTTATCTCTTCCAACATGCAATATTTCATGGTGATTCATTTGTGTTCTGCCTTTTTTTTTTTTTTTGAGACAGAGTCTCACTCTGTCGCCCAGGCTGGAGTACAGTGGCTTGATCTCAGCTCACTGAAAGCTCTGCCTCCCAGGTTCACGCCATTCTCCTACCTCAGCCTCCCAAGTAGCTGGGACTACAGGCATCCACCACCACGCCCAGCTAATTTTTTGTATTTTTAGTAGAGACGGGGTTTCACCATGTTAGCCAAGATGGTCTCGATCTCCTGACCTTGTGATCAGCCTGCCTCAGCCTCCCAAAGTGCTGAAATTACAGGCATGAGCCACCGCTCTCGGCTGTGTTCTGCCTTTTATAATATTCCCCTCATAAAGAATCTCACTACTTTGCCTTCACCTGGGAAAATAAACAATACACCTGGACTGTTATGCCCCAACGATTTACTATGGCCCTACATATTTCTCATGAACCTATTTGATGGACTTAAAATTCCCAGAAGACTCCACTGTAATCCAATATGTAAATGACCTCTTTCTATGCACTTTCAGTTATGACAACTCCCTTTAGGACACTGAATACTTTAAGGCAATGGCAAGAAAAGACCACAAAGTTTCTAGAGGAAAAGTTTAATTATTCTGTGTGTTCAATATCTGGGTCATGGTATTTCAGCTGCAGGTAAAATTATCTTCACAGGCAGAGCTTCTACTATTCATCATTTTCCTCTTCCTGAAACAAAATAACAGAGGTTTTTGGATCTTGTGGGCTATTGTAGGATGTGGGTACCTAATTTCTCATAGACTGATGATTGCCTTTAAGGTTCACAGCCTTCACTATGACTTTTCCTCATCTGAGATTAGTCTTCTCTTACATTTTTCTGTCCCTAAATTTAGGAGCTCCTTGTTCTCGCCCAGCTCTGCCTTTTCCTTATCTGTTAGCAAGACTATTCATCCACAGAGCCTTTGGCAAGCCTGGGCTGGACTAGTCACCACTTCCCATAACGCCACAGACTGAGGGTACTGTGCTTCCTTTCCTGTGGGCACATCTGGCATTTCCAAGATTCCTGTGAGAAATCAGAATTCCTATTTTGCTATACCTTCCCTCTCCTTTCTTACACCATTTTAAACCAGACAAATACCCATTGTGAGAAAAACCTCTGAATATGCTCCAGTCTATCCTTGCAAGGGTCATGTCCACTCGCATCATAATTTTACCATCAATTCTTTTCTGGGAACAAGCATTTGTCATTACACTTCTCCAGCCATCATTAAATGTAACATAATGCCTCCAAGCCACTACAGGTTCCTGGACATCTCTCATACGAATGGAAATGTCCCCACTTCCCCTCTCAGCCTAATTTCTCTCACCCAACCCAACCACACACAGACCACCTCCAAAAAATCCTTTCTCAATCATCGAAATGTTTATTCTTTGGTCACCTTCAGCCATCAGATAATTATCTTATGACTCCAGGCTAGCGCTCAATGATTCTTATTCTGTCTGTGGAACTCAAACCTATTAGCTGTTACCAGCCAACTGGAATGGATCTTGCTACCTCTCTAATCTTACTAATCCCTTCATCTACTTGATTCCCCACAATTTCTTTCCTTTTTTAAAGTTATCTCTAAAACAATCACCCACTCCCTCCAGTTGACCTCACTCTCACTATGAGAGCAAAAGAGGTATCCAGAACATTGCAGGTCTGTTGTAGGTGATCTTGGTTACTCAGGTGGTGACTTAGAAAGAACAGCTACACGAACTGGGCATAAGTTCTACCCATGATCTCAAGACATTAAGAAGTCTCAACAGATGGTTCAGCTCGTCTTTACTGAAAAGGAACTGAACACAAGATGGACTTAGATTGCTGAGAGAAGAGAATAATGCTTATTTCCTCAAACAAAAGGAGCAACTGACAAGATGCCTTCCTTGGCCAAACTTAAGTCAGGCTCCTTGGAATCCTCTTCTCAACTAGACCTTAATCTTTGGTTTCAATTTTGCATAGCACAGTTGTAGTAAGAATCTTGCAGTCAGTTTAGAGAGAATCCCCTACCCTCACTATCTGTTCACCTTCAATATTTGATCACCCTCAGTATCTAATCAAATTCCGCATCCCTGCACTCTCCAACACCCGCCTTGGTATCTCAATACTCAGCCTGTCTTGAGCAAGAATCATTTTAGGTTGGCTTAACCACAATCTCCCCACTCCTTAAGTTTCTTTCATCTCCGTAATTTTTCATCCATTAATGCCATCTTGCTCTTTGGCTATAAATCCCCATTGGTCTATGCTGTATTCAGAATTGAACCCTGTTCTATACTAAGGTCTCTCTTCCCCTATTACAGTAGTTCCTGAATACAATCTGTTTTTACCACTTTAACTAGTGTAATGTACAGCTCCGCTTTTCTGTAAAAAATAGTAAGCACTCAATACTTTAGAGTTACTAACATTACCAAGGTTGTCAGTTTTACTATTAACTAGGAAAAGCTATCTTGAGTAGGTCAGACCCGGTGTGTTGTTTAATATTACTTAAATTACTTACGTTTTGCCTCCAGCTTCTTCATTAGAAAAACCTGCATCTAGTTACTGTCTCTAACTCCTCATTGGAGCTTAAAAAAATCAGTTAAGCAATTTGAAGTCTGTAACACAGCTGGAAAACATTGCTTTTGTTATTCTAATTCAGCCAATTACCTCCTATGGTGTATTAAATATTCCTTTTTCTGCTCTGTAAGAGTTAATTCATTTCTCATCGGTGAGAACTTTTCACAGGCTTGTGAAGCAGCAAGGTGTTACAGAGATAACACAGATTTTGGTTCTAACTCTGCCACCTACTAGCTGAATTATGTTAGGCAATTATAGGTTACCTCAGTCTCTTTGTAGACTAAACTGTAAGAATGTATTATATGCTACAATTATGTGTATAAAATTTGTAGAAACTAGTTTGTGCCATTTTTGAAAGGTGAAATTTATAAAATAGTTCATTTTATAATCAAATATATCTCTGAAGACTCCTGGGAGTTCCCCTGAAAAGGTGTTAAAAATTGTAAAAATTTCACCTATTATGAAGGTTCCATCCAAAAAAGCAGGACACATGTTCTTCATCTTCATTTCTTAATCTCTTCCCCTGAAGTCATGGAGAACATTTTCAGTTCTGGACTCCAGAGTATACAGAATTTCTTTCTCAAATTTCCCGTGGGGCAAGGTCAAGACACAGTTTTAAAATTTTCATCGACCACATTGTTTTCAGAAAATGGAAAGGAAATAGTGAAATGCCAAAAATCCATAGAATAAGTATTAAATAGAATAACCTTATGTAAACTGATGTGGCCACTCATTAAGCAGAACACTTTCAGTGATGTCAATAGATCAAAAGAAAGGTCAGCTGTGTATCAAAGGCTCTGCCATAATCATCAGAGGAAAATGGAGAGCTATCTGTTCAGGAATACTGGAGGTAGGCTGGCTAGTGGGTTTGTTTCATCTTTTTCACTATACCCAAATAGACTCAGAAAACAAGATTTGAGGGCTATTTGTCACCTGGGGCTCTGTGATTTGCATCATTCTAACTATATCTATTATATTCAGTCAGATATTTAATAAATAAAATTTCTAAATTCCTAATGGGGAATTGCGTACAAATGCACTACTGTTATTAGCAAAAAGAAAAAGAAAAACAAAAACAAAAACAAAAAAAACCAGGGTAACACTTAGTGATGTTTCAACAACAGTAGCTTACATTTCTACAGATCTTTAGTGTTTAACAAGATGATTCTTCCTGGACTTTTCACTAACTGTAAGGTATGCAAATTAGATATCTGTATTTTATAAATGAGGAAACTAAGGTTTCCAGAAGTCAAGTGGATAGTTATTTCA
>NC_000003.12:91438818-91553319 GCF_000001405.40 Homo sapiens
CTGGATTAAGAAAATGTGGCACATATACACCATGGAATACTATGCAGCCATAAAAAATGATGAGTTCATGTCCTTTGTAGGGACATGGATGAAATTGGAAACCATCAGTCTCAGTAAACTATCGCAAGAACAAAAAACCAAACACCGCATATTCTCACTCATAGGTGGGAATTGAACAGTGAGAACACATGGACACAGGAAGGGGAACATCACACTCTGGGGACTGTTGTGGGGTGGGGGGAGTGGGGAGGGATAGCACTGGGAGATATACCTAATGCTAGATGATGAGTTAGTGGGTGCAGTGCACCAGCATGTCACATGTATACATATGTAACAAACCTGCACATTGTGCACATGTACCCTAAAACTTAAAGTATAATAATAATAATAATAATAAAGAAAATATTATAAAATTATAAATGGAGAAAAGAAATAAACACATATAACCAACTATCAGTTATCCATTCAACTACAGGTTGCTTCCCCACTGTCACTCAGTTGCTTCAAGGGTCATCTGAAAGTCGCACTGAACCACAGTTAAACAAAATGTTTCTGATTTCAATGAAAACCAGAGAAAAATTATCTACTATCTAAAGAAATAGTAACTCTAACAAGTCACTCATATTATTTATCCAGTTTCTAATTTAACAGAACTTTAGAATAATAAAATATGGCAAACTTGAAGTTAAAAGTCTGAACTAAAAAATATTAAATAGTGTTTCAGTATGCTTTCAAATGGCCAGTTTTCTTCACATTCCAACTTCCTATAATTATCAAGTTGAGGACACGACAAGGAACTGAAGTACAAAATCAGAGAAAAGGAAGTATACAAATGGAGAGGAAAGGATATAGAACACGCCATTGCTTATTAAACTAGCAACTTGATCTGGAGCCTTAGCAAATTTAGTTTTCTTACCAGTTAGAATTAGGATTTAAAAGCTGGAACAGGCTTCAGACCTTACCTAGTGCAGCCATTATTTGATAGTAAAACAAGGAACAGAGGGTCTAACCCTAAGTTGCAGTTTCTAAGTGAGTTAGGAAAAAAACCTTTCTAACAGGCATGGTGGCTCCCACCTGTAATCCCAGCACTTTGGGAGGCTGAGGCAGGAGAACTGCTTGAGTCCAGGAGTTTGAGACCAGCCTGGGCAACATAGTGAGACAAAAAATTTAAAAAATTAGCTAGGCATGTTGCCCCATGCCTGTAGTCCCAGCTACATGGGATGCTGGTCTGGAAGGCCTTAGACCCTGCGTTGCCTAGTTCATGCGCCTCTTGTTCACTTCTTTAAACCCTGTGTGTAGCACAAAACCTAGCAAATTGCAGCTGCTCAATGAATGTTTACTTGGCTGAACTGTTAGGAATCTTTTTTGGACTGTATGTTCATAGGGTCATCCCCACCAGAGGACTGAAAGCTAATCTTATGACATATTTCTCTGTTAACTTTCAGTGCCAAAAAAAGATTTAGCAAGTAAGTTCCTGCCCCTAAATACTATAACTTAGCATACTATTTAAATAGAGGCCTTCAACAGTTCAACCTGGAGGAAATGGTCAGGGGGAGTTCTACGGGAGATAATTTTCATCAGCTATCTGTTCAGACAGGTATGCCTACTATTAACGATATATTAATGATAAAATTTTCACCCTTGTTTTAGAAAAATCTGCTTTATTCATTGATATGAATGCCACTGATGTAACAGCAATGAAAATTTATTAAACTTCCAAATATAATTTGCCAAAATTTGAGATAGAAACCACAGACAACCCTTCACTTAGGAAGTAAAACATTTACTAATCACATACTTCTAGCCTAAAAGACTAGATTTAGTAATCCTTAAAAGGTGGTCAATTTAGTCTCTACCTCAGTAGCAGAAAAGGAGCCAACATAAAACAAGTATCACCAGAAAACCACAGGAGTACGCCGAGTGATGTAGAATTTGCTAGTCCCAGATAGTTGGCTCAGCTTGAATAAATGGTCTTTTCACTCCACAGAAACAAGAAAACTGAAAACATCATCCAATACTGCATTCAGAGACTGCACAATTAGCTGATCAGAGCTAATCTAGAGAGAAGCTGCCTTTTCTTCACAGAAACAAGAATTATGATTTTTAAAAATGTTTTGAGGAATTAAATGCAAATTTATTTCACTTTTACTAGATTAGTTTCACCCTATTTACTTATTTTCCCAGATTTATTTTCCGTCCCCACCTCCCTTTTTTTTTTTTTTTGCTTTCATAGTTGTTTTTTTAGAACTCATTATCTGGCCACTTTACTCAACAGTGAATATTTTCAAGTATTGACTATTTTGATAGAATTTTTAAAATCTAACTTGATCATCAAAAAGATGTCTAAAGATACTACAGATGGGGTTCAAAACATGTTATTCCAAAATATGGCACTTTGGCATTTCAGGAAATAGCAAAAGCAGAAAAATCACTCTCATTATCCCCTCGACCCTTCTCCCCTAAAGCAGGTTATAAAACCTAGAAAGAATTCTTTGACCTCTCTTCTCAGTAAGAACTTCATTCCAGAGATGCCCTGGAGGAAAGAAATGTCCTTATCACTGAAGACACAGGGATACAGAGAAGAATGTGAACAAATAGGCCTTGCAAGCTTCTCCCCAGTTTATTAGATTATATCCCTTTTATCTTATCATACTTCCCTATGACCACTTTTCATCAAACTAAGCATAAAAAGTTTTTCCTGTTTGAGTTTTCATATCCTTATGAAGGTTCCCATGTTATATAAAACCCATATGAAATAAATTTGTATGCATTTCTCTTATTAATCTGTCTTTTGCTATAGGACCTCAGCCATGAACCTGAAGATGGGTAAGGAAAAAATCTTTTCTCGCCTACACTACTCATAACCTCGTAAAACTATTATGTGCAATGAGTCTAAGGTTTTTAAACTTTCAATTAATTAACTAATTTTATTTTTTGTAAACAGGAGATCTTGCTATGATGCCGGGGCAGGTCTCAAATTCCTGGCCTCAAGCAACCCTCTGTCCTGGGCCTCTCAAAGGCATGAGGCCTTTGAGCCTCATTGAGATTACAGGCAAAGTCTAGGGTTTTGAAGAGCTACCAAGAAGACTGCAAAATATAACTCCTTAATCCTATGAATGTTAAGAAAAACAATATTTTTATATAAACATTTAAATATTTTTATATATTGATATATTTCAATATGTTTCTGGGTGCATAAAGGTTTAGGATTGCCTTATATTAGTAGACTATACCTTTTATCACATATAAAAATATAACTTTGTCCATTTTAATACTTTTCTCCTTGTACTGCATTTTGTATAACATTGTCACTCCAAGTTTCTTTTAAATTCCCCTTGCTTTTATCTGCACCCTCCCTCCCCATGCCCACCTTTATTTTCAATCTTTCTGTGTCAGGACAACTTAAATAAGCAGCAAATGGGCAATTGGTTACCCAGGGCTACCCTCTAGTGGTTACTCATAGCATATTAAAATATACCTTTTTCTGTCAATGTCAAAATTAATCAAACTTTGCAAAAAAAACAAGATCTTTAGCACACTTCTACTTACACTGTTAATTATCAGATTAGCTCCAGAATAACTCTTAAACTAAATTGCTGAAGGATTAAATTATTTTCACAAAGTCACAACAATATCCTGAGATGTTTCACTTATTAGATTACATGTTATCTTCTAGTCATCTAAGCATTACTACATAACGGACAACCGAAAGAACAAAATTGCATAAAATTTTTAAAGCTAGCAATAAATAATAGAAGACTATAACGTGCCTTGAAATGACAAATGTGATGAGATGAAGTTTTAATTTACTGTGACAAGCCAGACTGTTCCTGTACAATTTCAAGGACAAAGAAAACATGGATCTATAAGCCTCCTGTTGTAGGCAAGGGTTTGTTTCTTTTCTAAAGGTCAGGAGCCAATAGTTCACACTTGGTGAGACTAAATTCCCTAAGGGCTGCCTCTGAAGGAGATCAAGAGAGAAATGTATTAAAAAAAAAAAAAACTGTATCAAGAATTAGAAAAAACGTATGTTAGCTGACAGATGGCTAATTTATTTTTTTAAGAGAATTTACAAGACTTTTTGGAGATGTGGTTGATTCAGGACTGAGGCAGGGAAAATACAAGATGAGTCTGAAGCATCTTGTGGTGCTAGAGAGGATGTGCTCAAAAGAAGGAAGGAGGTGTGTCAAGAAAGCAAGGGAACCAACCCGAAAGAGCTCCCAGTGGCCAAAGCTGAACATTTTGGACAACAAAATCAACAACAAAGACTGGATTATAACCCATAGAATGAAATACATATCCATGAATGTGCACCAACATAAATAACTGAATACATAAATAAATGGGGAGAAAGGACAGTTTTTCCTTATAGAAACATTCCAATAATAAATGTAGATGGAATAGGGGAAATAGAAAATAACCTTTAGAGCATCTTAGTGATGATACTTGCAGGCAAGATCCATGGAGGGATGACAAAAATCAGTGGGGAAACAGGATATTTACATAGTCTAAAAGTATGTCCCCCAAGATGTTCTGAGGAGAACATAGTAACTCTACAGTGGAGAAACCCAGCAGATACCACTTTAACCAAGTGATCAAGGTTAGTATCACCAGCAATAAGTTATAATTACTAATAATAAGTAATAAGTGTTGATATCACATGCCCTTAGAGGGATACGATGAGAAGCGAACATCACGCGTGTCCTGCCAAAAATGCATAACCTCAATCTAATCACGAGAAAACTTCAGACAAACCCAAAGTAACCAGTATCCTTCCAAAGTATCAAGGTCATGAAAAGACAAGGAAAGACTGAGAAATTGTCACAGACTAGAAGAGATTAAGGAGACATGAGAACTAAATGCAATGTGGAGTCTTGAACTGGATCTTGGAATAGCAGAAGGACATTAGTGAGAAAACTGGTAAAATGTGAATAAAGTCTCTAGTTACAGTATTGTACCAATGTTAATTTGTCGATTCTGATAGTTGAATAATATTTGTGCAAGTTGCTAATATTAGGAGAAGCTCGGTGAAGAGTATATGGAACTCTTTGTACTGTTTTTGTAACTTTTCCATTAATCTAAACTTTTCTCACAAATAAAAAGTTTGTGGCCGGGCGCAGTGGCTCATGCCTGTAAATCCAGCACTTTGGGAGGCTGAGGCGGGTGGATCACCTGAGGTCAGGAGTTTGAGACCAGTCTGGCCAATATGGTGAAACCCCATCTCTACTAAAAACACAAAAATTTGCTAGACGTGGTGGTGGGCGCCTGTAATCCCAGCTACTCGGGAGGCTGAGGCAGGAGAATCGCTTGAACCCAGAGGTGGAGGTTGCAGTGAGCCAAGATCGTGCCACTGCACTCCAGCCTGGGCGACAGAGTGACACTCCGTCTCAAAAAAAAAAAAAAATTTATATACCAGGCAATGGAAAAGTACAACATAGATTACCTCATTTGATTCTCCTAATAACTAGGCAAAGGTGGTGTGAATATCCCTATTTTACAGCCTAGGCAATTGAGACTTCGAAATACTAAGTGAAATGTTCAAATGCACACAGTAAGATGTGTCAGGACTGAAACCTTGTTATGACTTGTTCAAAGTCTCCATTCCTTCTACCATGTTATGAGGATCTGCACAGGCCTGTACCCACCCAAGAAACACAAGTAATCTCTTCTAAAACTAGAGTAAAATTTTAAAGTGGCAGCAATGTTAAAAAAGCAGCAGAGGCAGAATCTAGTGGCAATTTTTAATTTGCTTAAAATATGCAGTTTTGGGGGAAACATGGTTTTCTGTCAAAAAGGCAAATTACTATATATTTAAATAAAGTTATTTGTATTTACTATGACATCCAGCAAGTCTTATAAAATTATACAAATTACAATATACTGCTATGCTACCCAATATGAAGTATAAAAAAGATGATTTTGTAACAGGTCATTTAACTTCAATAGGCATAGATGTTTTATTATATAGTTCAAAGATACCTAAAACAGATAAGAGGGGAATTTTCAGATGTCTTAGTGTTTTTTTTTCTTGCAATTTGCAACATTAAACCATTTACCTACATAAACACCACATAAATATTATTTAATACAAAGAAGCAGCATATCAAACCCTATAGAAATATCTGAGAAAATGTCCATGACGGAAGAGAAATGCTTCCCCCTTTTCCCTTTTAGTGATACGTTACAGGCATCACAGTAATGATAGGTTACTTCATTTTGTGAATGACGATAAAGGATCAGAATTAAAGCCCCTAAACAAAGTGGTTCCTTTCTCATAACCAAATGTAACTGAATTAAATTATTGATGGATTGTGTTCTCTGCAGTGCAGAAAGATGGCTCTGCCAAGGAAGGGCTATGTAAACTTCATTGTCCGGCTTCAGGTTATCTGTTTACTTCTGTACTTCACTGTGATTTATCATTAAGAAACTGAATTTGTTTTGCCACACTATCCCCCCTTTGAATGAACTGTACACTGGAAACATGCTAATAGAAAAAGATAAGACAAATTGCATTTTTTCCCAATTCTACAACCTAATAATTTTTAAAAGCACATATTTTTAAAGGTTAGAAGATGCTTTAAATATCCTAACAAATTTCTCATATTTATTTATAGGAATTTAACCCAAAAATTAAAATATCAACGGTATATTATCATGAACATGCCTACAACAACAGTTGGGAAAAACAAGCTCAGCACAGACTAAATCAGACAATTTAGGCTGGGCATGGTGGCTCACGCCTGTAATCCCAGCACTTTGGGAGGCCGAGGCGGGTGGATCACCTGAAGTCAGGAGTTTGAGACCAGCCTAGCCAACCTGGTGAAACCCCATCTCTACTAAAAATACAAAATTAGCCAGGGGTGGTGGCGTTTGCTTGTAATCTCAGCAATCTGGGAGGCTGAGGCAGGAGAATAGCTTGAACCCAGGAGGTGGGGGTTGCAGTGAGTCTAGGTCGCACAACTGCACTACAGCCTGGGCAACAAAAGCAAAACTCCGTCTCAAAACAAACAAACAAACAAAAACAGACAATTTAATACACTTTAAAGCGTATCAAAGTTTTGAAGTCTGTAGTACCTTAATCAAGAAAAAAAACAGATTAATTAAACTGAATATTAAAACTACCTGTATTTTATATAACAATTATCACCCCTCAAGAGTAAATTTTCCAACCACTTGGTAATTATCTCATTTATTTTCACAATATCATTTAAGTATGTAGGAATAGTTAACTTATTTATATTTGCTGATGGCTAGCTGAGTAACAGAGTCCCACAATAGCAAATCTAAAACTCCAATTTAGGTCTGCTGATTCCCTATCCAGAGCTCATTCACTGAATCATAACACCTCTCAGCTATTTACAATGTGTAGTGAAGGATACAGAATAGCTTGTCACAATGTATTAGAAAAAGCAAATACATCATAGTTGTGTTCAGCAGTCTACCAGCCTCCCTTTTCATGTCTGGGTACATTTTACAATTCAACAGATAAAAATCACCATTTAGTGTGATAGAAATTACTATCTTATTTATTGGCTCTATTAACTCGACAGTGAGAAAGAGAGAAAAAGATGGATCTTGGGCTAGGTCGTTCATGGTCCTTCTAGCCCTGATTTCTATCTATAAGGCAGGAAGAAAATCTAAGTGTATTGTTTATCCACCAGGAGATTGGTCTGTGCCATGTTATGTTTGAGGAGCCTATTTGGCATCCAAGGGGAGACACAGAGCAGGTAGTTGGGTATACCTGACTCTAGGGTAAGAAGAGCAGTCTGGCTGGAGGTTCTATGAGAATGCAAACTCCAGTAAAACAGGGATTTTGTCTATTTTGTTAAGTTCTATACCTTTAAGCACCCACAACAATGCCCAGGACATACCGAGAGCTCTATAAATATTAGATGGGACTACATGAAACTGCCATGACGTTGTACTATTTTTGATCTATATTAACAGCAACTTCATATGATTCTATCTAGTACTTACTGAATAAATGATACCCTGTAATTTTTCATTTCACAGTCTCTCCTCTGGATCTGAGCTAAAAAAATTCCTGCCTTACTGGAAAAAGAGTACAGCAGAGTGGGTAGAAGATCCCGAAGTTGGTCCTTGCTCCTTTTCAGACCCCAACGGTCTCAGTCTCCCTCTTTCCTGGCTAGTGCATTACAGGCACACTAAATATTGTTGGTGGTGATGATGACAGAAATTACCTTTTCCTAATATTTCCTATAGGTAATTATTAGAAAATTAAAAGTAGCCACTTGCAAATTATATAACTAGTTGATTTTAAATAAATTTACAGTATTTTTCTCAGTACTGTTACCGGGTAGAAGGTTCTGATCATTGAGATGTCCAGGTCCTTGGCACACTGAACACAGAACTGAACAGCACACACAAACAAGCAAGGAAAGTGTAGACTTACTGAAGTGGGAGGCAATAGTAGTGAAAGTACACTCCACAGAATGGCAGCGGCCCAAGCAAGTGGCTCAAAAGCCTTGGTAGCAAAGTCTTCTGGGGTTTTAAGTACCCTCTAGAGGTCTCCCATTGGTTACACCCTATGTAAATGAAGGGCTGGCTCATGCCAATTAGAGGCTGAAGTGAACTGGCCCATGGGCAATCAAAGACAAGCTGGATTGGCACCTTATTTATGCAAATGAAGGTCCTAAAATGGACCAATCATAGGCCACAGTGCAGGTTTGCCTCATGGCCAATCGGAGGCTGGTGTGAATAGGCACCTTATGCAAATGAAGGTCCTAGAATTTAGTTCCAGGAAGTTTGCATGAATTGGCCTTAGGTTCCCTGCCTTCAGAGCCTATTCTTTTGCCTCACTACTACAGTTATCATTTTATAGCTAAAGTTTCTGAGTAATAGATTATTTCTCCAAAGCCATAGCAGAAGAGTAGATAGGTAAACTCAAAAGTCCTGAAGTTCAATTTTGGGCTTAATTCGTTACAACTTGTCTCTACCACCGACTATGCGGAAACTCTATATATGTGTGTAAGGATGTTACTATGCTATTTAATTACATTAAGGGATTTTTCTGCCTGTATTTGTTTTCCTATGCTATATCACATTTAGAAACTTCCAAAGACAAATCCAATTGCTTATCATTTTACCTGGATAGTTTACCTGCATAGATTATCACGTGAAACAACTTTTCTCCTGAAACACACACACACGTATATATAATCTTTAAAAGCTTATATGAGTGATCTTTAAATTACCATACTGCTATATACAATTTCCATAGTTCTCTTTTTGGTTTATCATGTCATAAACTGAGCATAAAATAAGAATTATTTTCTATTCTGTTTTATAAAGAAATGCTGTTCCTGAAGAACTTTAATATATATTAATTCAAATTTAATCATTTAAATAGACTGTAATAAAAAAAGGAAGCTGAGGATGACTATGCAAATCTAAGCATGGTGTTCTGATAGGACAACTTCTAGGATCACAACTCCACTAGCCACTTCACATGTAGATGAACTTTCTTTAAAACTCAAAAGCTGCCTCTGATGTCCTATATAGCATACAAATGAGCAGAACAATAATGAGAAACACAACACATGTAAAATTGCGGGAATAATACTATTTTGATGTGCAGCTTAAAGAGTAATTTGTTGAATAATAATAATCCCCAAGACAAGTTGACAAATTAACTTGCTTCTAAATAAATGAAAGTATAGGCCAGGTGCGGTGGCTTAAGCATGTAATCCCAGCAATTTGAGAGGCCAAGGCAGAAGGATTGCTTGAGCCCAAGAGTTTGAGGTTAACCTCACATACAGTGAGGTTACTCTATGACTGTGCCACTGCATTCTATCCTGGGAGACAGAGCAAAAACCAATCTCTAACAAAAGTAAATAAATAAGTAACTAAATAAAGAAAAGCATAATATTACTTTTCAAACTTAAGTAGTGGCAGATGAGAGCCCTTTCCCAAGCAGCTGCATTAGGTGATTTGTAAAAAGGCTAGAATTTGTTTTACCTTATAATACCAAATAATACACCTTTCACAAAATGTGCTGCTCTGGCTTGTTTAAACAATGGATGTGCCCCCCATCACGTGATTTGGTCTCTCTTTCTTAGCTATATTCATCCAATCTGGACAGTGAACTGTGATGGCAGGGACATCTCTCTATTCCCTTAAATCTCTCTGCCTTATGCCCACTGTGCTTGACAATGAGGATCTTGAAAAACTATAAATTAAATTCCACAGGTATGCACACAAAATTGCATATAAATGTATAATGTACTGTTAAATCTCAATTCCTTAAAGGTTCAGAGGATTATTATCTACTCTTCCCTTCCGTTATGAAAACATCATATCCACAAACCTGCAAAATTAAGTTACCCAACCAACAAGCGCAAGCTGTTTAGCTCTTAAATTGAGGTGACACAACGTGCAAAGGAAAGTCACCTTAATTCCACTAAGGGAAAAAAAAATGCACTAAAACCCATCTCTCTGAGCTGAGCCTTCATTCAATATTGAAACAAGTAATCTCAAATTCCATGGTTTTGGTTGCCACTCAACACTATTCCATTCAACTGGGGATTGAACAAAGCAAAATAAAAGGGAGCTTTAATGTGCCTTTTCTTCTCCTTTTTGCTATACTACATTGACAGCATCTTGTTCATTAATTAAACTTTTTCTTCCCTTTAAGAAATAGACTGTAGTGTGCTATACTGGACACTGAGGAAGCAGGCAGGAAATAAGAGGCATAAGTTAGAAAAAATCTAGGATTTAAAAATTGTAGTTGGAGATACAAAATATTCATGAACGATAAAACAAATATAGAGAAACATTTCAACAAATACAAAGTAAGATGGTAAGTATTTAACACATACAGGGGTTGACATGGAGGCAGAACTAGGAGTGATTAGAGGTTCCTCTCACGGATTTTACATGAATCAAGACAGCTCCACCTTGATGACTGAAACAATTCAGGAGCCTTGCACATTTTCTGTCATCCACTAGAAATGGGGTTATGAATTTAAGTCTTTGGAGGCTATGAACCCAGTTAATAATGACTAATTTGCCAAATTTGCTGGAACCCTCAGAAATAAATTTTGGTTTTGTGAGCCTGACATGTGTTTCTTACGTAAGAAGGGAATGCATTCACTGTTGTGTTTTTTGGTTTTTTGTTTTGTTTTGTTTTGGTTTCTTTTTGAGACGGACTCTTGCTCTGTTGCCCAGGCTGGAGTGCAGTGGCACTATCCCGGCTCACTGCAACCTACACCTCCCAGGTGGAAGCAATTCTCCAACCTCAGCCTCCCAAGTAGCTGGGATTACAGGCTACGCCACCATGCCCGGCTAATTTTTTGTATTTTTAGTAGAGACTGGGTCTCACCACCTGTTGGCCAGGCTGGTCTTGAACTCCTGACCTCAAGCGATCTGCCCACCTTGGCCTCCCAAAGTGCTGGGATTATAAGCGTGAGCCACCACGCCCAGCCTTCATTGTTGTTTTTGTTCTGTATAATAATAGGCACAATAGGGAGATCATGAGGAAAAAACATAATTCTTATTCATTACCTTACTGATATGTAGGAACTTTTGCTTTGATAATAATTTAAAGAAGATATGCCATTTCTAATTTGCCATCTTAAAGCTCAAAATAATAATGCAATAAAATTCTAAGTTTATGAAAAATCTTTTGACAGAAATGACAGGTGTTCTAAAGGGAAATGATTAAAAGGTAAAAAAGATGAGAAAATGCTTTTCATGTATTTTTTATTTGGGTTTTAGATACCTCAATATGAGGGAACTAGAGGAACACAGCATTCTTTACTGTTTTATCATTATGTAAATCAAATAGATTTTCTTTTCCAATAAAATTCTATGTGTAAATTGTCCCTGTGCATATCTTGCCGGCAAAAAAATTACAGGAATGACACCAATTTCATGGTAACTTTAATTTAAAAAATGCTCCTCAGCTTTACAACCTGAAGATGAAGAAAGTTTACACACTTTCTTGAAGTCTGTCACTAAAAACTGATGACCAGTGGAAATTTATCTTCTCATCAGCCATAAAATAGTGACTGCAAAATTCAATAATCTTGAATGCATAGTTCAAAATTTGTGATTTACTGTTTGGCAAATAAAAGTTATTTTCTAACCATAATAATAGCTATTTATTGAGGGCTTACTCTGTTCTAGGCACTGTTTTACCTATATTATTGCTGCTTTACATCCTGGAAAGCCACTTGATACTTTTTTATTAGAATCCCCAGAAAAGAAAAGAATCCATCCTTTCAATGTTCATTTCCTGAGTATTTGACAACACAATTAGAAAAATTATCTTAATGTTAGAAAAACAGTGCTGTTCATAGATATGAAGAGAAAGCCAGCAGCATATAGAGAAATGGGATAGTCAAGATTATTACTGACAGTGAATAGGAAAATATAATCAAGTTCATGAATTCTAAAAGGAAATTAAAGACATTTGCTAATTAGGTGATCACAAAAGAAATGATAAAGCTCATTTCCTGCTCTATGACACTGGCAAGGCATCAAACCAAAAAGACGAAACAAAGGCATTTGGCTTTCATTATAAACCTATATAAAACAGCACAATAAAGAGATGTATACACAGCTCTTTCACATCAGTTAACTTAGATTCCTACCATTTTCTTAGACAAGTGTTTCTATTACCTTTCTTAAAGATCTCACCATGGCTCAGCAGCTGCCATGAGTTAACGAACTAAAAATATGGTTTCTGATGCACATACAATTCATTTTCACATCCACAAGAAAATAATGGGCAAGAATAACTAATAAAGTTAAGCAAAGTGGCAGGGTGTGGTGGCTCACGCCTGTAATCCCAGCACTTTGGGAGGCCAAGGCGGGCGGATCATGAGGTCAAGAGATCGAGACCATCCTGGCTAACACAGTGAAACCCTGTCTCTACTAAAAATAAAAAAATTAGCTGGGCGTGGTGGCACGTGCCTGTAGTCCCAGCTACTCAGGAGGCTAAGGCAGAATAGCCTGAACCTGGGAAGCAGAGGTTGCAGTGAGCCAAGATCGCGCCACTACTCTCCAGCCTGGCAACAGAGCAAGACTCCATCTCAAAAAAAAAAAAAAAAGAAAAGGGTAAGAACTGAAATAAAAACTGCAGGTTGATGAATTCACCTTAGAATTCACAGGCAGATTATAAACCTCAATATATATTTTTCTCATTTAATTATACTTCTACAAGTTTATGTTCAAATTCTATTTTCAAAAAAGTCTGAGTAATGAACATAGATGATGGCATTCAGGGAGAAAAGAAAGACCATAAGCAAATCTAGACTTAGAACTTGCTTACTTTTTGTAGTTATCAGTGTTTTGGTTTTAAGAAAAATCAATATTACTTAATTTTGCAACAATTAATTTTTAACTAATCCAATTACTTAAAAATTTATTAGAAAATTATGCTCTTCACAAATGCCACTTACTGTTAATATCTGCAACTTTTCCTACTATCAAAAGGGCTCATTTACTTCCTTTCAAATTAACATGCATAAAATAGTATTTGTTAACTATCAATAATTTTTTTAAAGTAAATTAACAACAGCTACAACGTACAGAGTGCCTATATGTGCTCAGCAGTGTGTCAGGCACTTGACAGACATTATCCCTGCTCCTCACAAGAACCCACAAAAAATAGAGATTATTATTCCCATATAAAAATGAGAGCATAAGACAGACCTTAGGAAAAGTAAGTATCTTGACCAGAATGATAAAATGAACCAAGTTAAATCTTAACTGACCCAAATAATCATAACTGTACTCCCTCATAACCAATATAGCTCATCCTAACTTTGGTGCAATAGCAATCCAAAGTTCAGAAAGAACTTACACTTATAGAAAACGTACTTAAGTCTTGATCGTCACCAAAAAGCAGGCATTCTTTCTTTCCTTTAGTTGGGGAGAAAACAGAGGCCCAGAGAGGGTAAAAAGCTTTTCAGAGCTCCCAAAGAGGTTGCAAGGGCCTGGCCTGTGGCCTTCAGCCTTTAGATCCAATTTTCTTTCTAATGCTCAGGCTTTAACCAGCATAGTTGAAAACGCATGTATTTGTAGCAAAGTACCTGGACAGGCACACCCCCTTTAAGTCTTAGATAGCTCTCCAATCTTCACATTTAACTACATGGTTGCTCACCATTTTTATTATTCCCTTAATATCTTTGTGAGAATAGAATTTTCTATACATTTTCCTTTGGCAATCAAAACTGTTAAATAGAAAAGCCATGATTACTGCTTCCAATTTTATTCTATTCTATCATAATGTTCTACAATGGTGTTTCATTCTCAAATACAGAAATGCTGGGGCATGTAGCGAACAAGTAATACTGAAAAGCTGATTCAAGGAATAAATAATAAATAGTAGGGGTTTTCCCCATAAAATATTGACACAGAAGCCTACAAACCTGCAGTTCTTCAGATGGCAGCTCTTCCTACCTCAGATTAGGTGATGTAATCTCACATAAACAATGAGGGGAAAAGACCAATAAAAGAAGGTTTAGGATCTTTACAGTAAAACAAAACCAAGTTATTCATTGGATTTGGGTGACATAATAAATGACATTACTGGTCATGGAAAAACATATTTTCCTACCTATCCACCTAGAAAATTGGACTGGGCATACCCACTCTGATTTATGTGGTCAAATACAAAGCATTTTCAAATACTGGGCAAATTTTTAAATAATATGGACTATATATTTATTGAACACAATTGTCCTTTTGAAGTATTTTTTTCAGTCATACTCAAAAAGTCAGATACTTTTTGACAGCTCAGGAAATATATAGCAAAAAGCTTTTCATAATATTGTATAACAAATCAGAGAAGAAATGCCTGTGAACAAACAAACAGTCTAAAATCAAACCAAATGCATATACATACCTTCGTTCACATTTTAAGATGTCAACTATGAAAACATAATGCAGAATTATAGTTACAGGCAGATTTCACTGCAGTATTTCTGGAAAAATATGATTTCCCTTGCTCTTTAAATGATGAAAAATAGCCTGCTAAAAGGATCTTTTAAAATATGTCTATAAAAAATCTCCCCCAACATGACTAAGATGTGATTATAAACACAATTTCAATCAAGTGATACTATCTATAACTCTAGCAAGTAGGTAATGAAAAACGGGGGGGAAAGGCAAAGGGCATTTTGCTTTCTCACATACTACACAATAACATATTTTACGTCCTAGTGAATATAAGGCAATACTTATGATAGCTTTTCCTACTGCACTTGGGGAAGACCTTTAAGACTCTAAAGAAAAGTGGAGACCTTCCCCGACTTATGGTGGGATTATGTCCTGATAAACCCATCATAAGTTGAAAATATCATGACAAAAATGAATTTTAATACACCCAGCCTACCAAAAATCACAGCTTACTTTAAACATGCTCAGAACACTTACATTTGCCTACAGTTGGGCAAACTAATCCAACACAAAGCTTACCTTATAAAAGCATTAAATATCTCATGTAATGTATTGAACACTGTAGTAAAAGTGAAAAACAGAATGGTTTTACATCATAAAATAAAAAAATTTTAAGTCAAGCCATCAAGAAATTCAAACACAAAAAATCTAAAACACAAACATTCAGATTTTATACATCTTCTCAACTACTATCTACAAGTTTATGCTTATTACAATATTTTTCTTTTTTTTTTCTAATCCCCATGCTGATCAAAATTACAATATTTCTAATGTTTGGTTTGGATGACTGGTAGAAGTAAAGGTATAGCCATGGGACAGTTTTATTTCTGAAAAGCAAAATGATATTGAGTACTTACTATGTACAAGGCACGGTTCTAAGCACTTTCTTTGTATTAGCTTTATTTAGTACTCACAACAACCCTTTAGGACAGATACTATTAGGATCCTCTTTTCACAGATGAAGAAACTGGAGCACAGAAAGGTTAAGGAAACTGCCAAAAGTCAGGTTACAGCTGCTAAGTTGCAGAGCAAGAATTTGAATCCAAGTAATTGTATTTCCAAGCACTTAATTGCTCTGAAAATTATATCTGTAGTTTGTCAGATGAAATTACCTATTCTTTCCTGAATTTATGCAGAAAATAAAACAGGAAAGGGGCTTATCCTAAATCATCCTATTTCTCATCCCTTAACTTTTAAAGCTATACATACAACAACAAAGAAGAACCTGTTACGATGTCAACTGACTGACTCCCATTGGCAGTGCATCTGAAATAATTAGAATTGGTATCAAAAACTTAGGTTTGATTCTGAGCTATATAGGATACAAAGTTTATATGTTTGGACAATTCATTTAACCTTTTTGAGACTCAATACTAAGGTACAGAATGGAATAAAAATATGATCTCCCTTATTTATTTCTGAGGAAGCCAAACACTTAAGATGATTTGGAAATGTTCTTACAGAAGAATTCCAGCTAATAACTTTAGAAATAAAAATAATATAAGTGATTTTGGAAAGATCATTCGATAGACAAACCATTAGATGAAGACTTGTTGAAGAACAGAGGGTTCAAACTACTGCTACCCAATATGCTTCCTATGTGACACAATATGAAAAATAAAGTACCACTTATGAAGGATTCTTGCCAAAAAGGTTGCGCCTGAATCTACGTAAGTCTTTAGAGCTAATTCCATTTACAGAAAAAAAAAATGGGTTATACAGTAACAAATTAAATGACACCACAAAAAAAGCAAACAAATAAACCCAAAATGTGAAACATATAGAACTGGCTCATTTCTTCAAGTTAATGGGCTGAAAAAAACAAAAACAAAAAAGGAGAGAGAAAAGGAGAGGTAAGGGATTACTAAAAGATTTATGAGACAACAGCCAAATCTAACATGTGACCTGATGTAAATCCTAGTTCAAACAAACCAGATGTAAAAACAAAAACAAAACATTTTTTAAGCAGTTGGAGAAATCTGAACATGATCTGGATATCTGATGTCACCAAAAATTATTGCTAATTTTGCCAAGTCATAAGACAGTAACACTACAATTATGTAAGAAAGTGTCTATTTTTTTTTAGAGGTGCATACTGCTGTGTATAGGTATCTGTGATGGTTAATTTCACATGCCATCTTGACTAAATCACAGCGTTCCCAGATATTTAGCTAAACATTATTTTGGAGAGTGTCTTGGTGTCTCCAGATGAGACTGGTATTCCAATCAGTAGGATCTGTAAAGAAGACTGCTCTCCCCAATGTAGGAGGGCAGCACCCAATTTGTTGAGAGCCTGAATAGAACAAAAGGTGAAGGGAGAATTCTCCTGTCTGCCTGACCACATGAGCTGAGACATCAGTCTTCTCCTATCCTTGGACTGGGACCTACTGGCTCCCCCAGTTCTCAGGCCTTTGGACTCAGGTTGAACTACACCACTGGCTTTCCCGAGTCTCCAGCTTGCTGACAGCAGATCATAGAACTTCTCAGGCTTCATAATCACATAAGCCATTTCCTCATAAAAAATCTCTTTATATAGAGAGAGCAGCATATGACAGTCTGAAACTTGCTTCAAAAATAGCTAAAACACAAATAATAATAAGGGATAAATAAATAAATAAAATATGGAAAAGACTGATAACTGTTTAGTATGACGACAGATATGTGAGAATTTGTATTTGTATACATTTGGAATTTTTGATAATGTTAAATTTTTTTAAAGTATTTTCTCCACTTGTTTCATAAACTATTATGATGATCATTGAGAAAAATTATATAAAAGTAGCTAAAACACATATCAGTGTGTTTTAATGTCAGTGTGTTTTAATGTCAGTTTGAAAAAGGAATAAAGAAAAAAATTTAAGGAATCCACATTCTAAATTAGGAGATGGCCAACTATGGCCAGTCCACAGGCCGAATCCAGACGGCTGCCTGTTTTTGTGATAGTAACACAGCTACATCCATTTGTTTAAATATTGTTGATAGTTGCTTTCATGCTGCAGCAGCAGAGTAAGTGCAACAGAAACCACATGGTTCATAAAGCAAAATTTATTTACTATCTGGCCCTTTAAAGAAAGTTTACTGACTCCTATTATAAATTCTACATTTTTACTATTATTTAAGAGAAAATTTAGCCTCAAAACATTTTCAGAGCCTTTCTTTTTAAAATTTACCAATGATTTTCCCTATCTAGCTTCTCACAAATAAAAACAAAACCACCCACAAAATAGGGGCTGGTAGCCTCATAAGTTTTGCCCTAAAGTGAATAAATCATTTCATAGCTTCGAGGTAGCTACTTTTCTATTAAATCTAGAAGCCCATAATAAAAGTAAACAAACAAACCAAAAAAGGAAAGAAAATTTATAATTTCATATTACAATTATTATTTTACTTCACGTTCCCTGAGTTTAATAAAAATAGCCAAAGGGAGACAATATATTACATGTTTCAATGCATTCCAACCAAAGGATGTTTTTTATTTGGGGAGGGAAAGAGAAAGGAACACATACACATACAAGGCTGGAATTTCCTCCATGTCAGTCCAGCAAAGAACACTGTAAACCCATGGGCCATTTTTTTCTAACTATAAACTGTATGTTTTGGATTAATAGTTTAAACACATTATTTGGCAGCCTTCAACTTAACTTACATAAACTTCAGGTACACCCATGAGCTGATTACTAATTTAGGGCTTGAGAAAAGCAATGTTTCAGAGGGAAAAGGAGACATGAATGAGCTTAATATGTAAGTACACTAGCTAAAGGGCATAATTAAAACTACATCACTCCTTTAAATCTACATAATTATGTCCCAAAGACATTCTCATTAGTATCTTTTATTTTGCCACTAAACCAGAAAGGACTTCATGTCTACATAGTTGGGAAATTCATATAAAATTTAAAAAGCTAAGGCCAGCTGTACGCATCAGCTCACGCCTGTAATCCCAGCACTTTGGGAGGCTGAGGAGGGTGGATCACCTGAGCAGGAGTTTGAGAACAGCTTGACCAATATGGCAAAACCCTGCCTCTACTAAAAATACAAAAATTAGCCAGGCATGGTGGCATGTGCCTGTAATCCCAGATACTCGGGAGGCTGACACAGGAGAATTGCTTGGAGACAGGAGAATTGCTTGAACCCAGGAGGCAGAGGTTGCAGTGAGCGAAGATCGCACCACTGCACTCCAACCTGGGTGACAAAGCAAGAGTCTGTCTCCAAATAAATAAATAAAAAAGCTAAGGCATATATAAGTCAGATAAAGTGTTTGCAAAATTCAACGACTGAACTTCCCTTTTTAAAGTAAAATCTGCCATTAAGTAATATATAAATCCAGTCAACCATCACTGCTACCACAATATCAGTAGGTAACCTTATGCCCCAAATTTCAGAGGGGAAAATAACCAGAAAGAATTAAACTATTTTTAATTTTAGAAGACAGAATGCTGCTTTTTCTGACACTAACTCAACTGGAAATCTCTACTAACCAGTGCTTCCTCTACTATACAATGATAATTGATGTTCCTAATGATCAGCCTGAAGCATGTTCCAAATCCTGAAGTTCATTCTAAATGATTAAAAAGAAGATTATGTTCAGTAGACTTTCAGTGGTGAGTACACTTCATTATATTCTCATTATTTTAAGATTAGTAACATTTTTAGGATATATAGGGCAACTGTCCATCGAAAGGCTATCCCCAAAATCAGATATTCACAGAGGCTATACTGGAAAGCTCTTAATATTATGGTCAATTTACTATACATAGAGGAGAAAATCACCTCTCTCAAGACGTGGGACATGAAATTCTATAGGGCATTAAGAGATTCTGTCCTAGGACTTGAAGAAATTTTAAATCCCCTTTTTGAAAAAAATTGGCCCAAACAGTGGCCCTTGTACTCTCTGCTTATAATTACACTGATCAAATCTTCTGAGACAGAAGCTGGAAGAGGAATTAGGAAGCTATTGCAATAATTAGATAAGAGATGGTGATGGTGTGGACCAATATTGTGGCAGTACAAACTGGATAATGATATACTTTCAAGGTTGAGCCAGAAGAATTTGCTGAGAGCATCGGTATGAGAGAAAGGAGTAAAAGACTATATACATCAAGGTTTTTAACCTGAGCAACTAAAACAATGAGATTGCCATTATCTGAGATTGGAAAGACGATAGGAGGAGTTGGTTTGGGGCAGAATGGTATACCAACAGCTTAGTTTTAAGCACTTTAAGTCTGAGATACCACCTAAGTATTACGATGTTTGTATAATCTAGAACATAGATCATCTGTAGATCATAAGTAGGCACTTGGATATCTGGGTCTAGAGCTCAGGGAGGTGGTTAGGCTGAAAATATGCCCTTAGGAGTTATTGGCATATAGATCTATGTGAAGCCATAAGAAAGGATGAGATCACCTGAGTGTAAAATAAAGAACTAAGGTGTTTCCTGGAGTGCTAAACTATCTAAGAAGAATATAATACCCACATTCCTCATCTTATTGCGCCCATTTCATTGTGCTTCATAGATAGTGCATTTTTTACATATTGAAGGTTTGTGGAACCCTGCATCGAGCATGTCTATCCATGCCATTTTTCCAACAGGATATGCTCACTTTGTGTCTGTGTGTCACATTTTGGTAATTCTCTTAATTTTTCAAACTTTTTCATTATTATATCTCATTCTCTATATTTTATTATTATGTCTGTTTTGGTGATCTGTGATTAGTGATCTTTGATGTTACTAATGGAATTGTTTTGGGGTGTCACAAACACACCCACCTAAGACAGCAAACTTAGCTGATAAATGTTGTGTGTCTTCTGACTGCTCCACCAACTGGACATAACCCTGTCTCTCTCCCTCTCCTCAGGCCTCTTTATTCCCAGAAACACAAAAATATTGAAATCAGGCCAATTAATAAGGACTCTGACCAAGTGAAAAAAAGACTCGCACATCTCTCACTTAAAGTAAAAAGTTAGAAATTATTAGGCTAGTGAGGAAGCCATGTGCAAAGCAAAGATGGGCTGACAGCTAGCCTCTTTGAGAAAGTTAAGTGAGATAGGCCAAAAGCTAACCTTCTCGTGCCAAACAGCCAAGCTGTGAATGCAAAAAAAAAGTTTTTCAAGGAAATCGAAAGTGATACTCCAGTGAACATGTGAATGATAAAAAAGCAATACAGGCTTAGTGCTGATGTGGAGAAAGATTGAGTAGTCTAGATGGAAGATTAAACCAGCCACAACATTCCCCTAAGTGAAAGCCTAATCCAGAGGAAGGCTGTAACTCTCTTCAATTCTGTGAAGGCTGAGAGGTGAGGGAACTATAGAAGAAAAGTTTGAAGCAATTGGCTGGGCAGAGTGGCTCACGCCTGTAATCCTAGCACTTTGGGAGGCCAAGGAGGGCAGATTGCCTGAGCTCAGGAGTTCGAGACCAGCCTGGGCAACAACGGTGAAACCTCGTCTTTACTAAAATACAAAAAATCAGCCAGGCATGGCAGTGTGCACCTGTAGTCCCAGCTACTCAGGAGGCTGAGGCAGGAGAATCGTTTGCACCCGGGAGGCAGAGGTTCCAGTGAGCCCAGATCACGCCACTGCACTCCAGCCTGGGCAACAGAGCGGGACTCCATCTCCACAAAAAAAAAAAAAAGTTTGATGCTAGCACAGGTGGGTTTATGAGGTTTAAGGAAAGAAGCTATCTCCATGATATAAAAGTACAAGGTGAAGTGGCAAGTGCTGATGGAGAAGCTGCAGCAAGTTACCCAGAAGAACTAGCTAAGATGACAAAGGTGGCTATATTAAACAACACATTTTCAATGTGAATAAAACAGCCTTATATTGGAAGAAGATGTCAACTAGGACTTTCACAGCTAGAAAGGAGAAGTCAATGCCTAGCTTCAAATTAGCCCCTAACTTTCTTGTTAGGGGCTATAGCAACTGGTAGCTTGAAGTAAAAGACAATTTAGCATTCTGAAAATCCTAGGGACCTTAGGAATTGTGCTAAATCTACTCTGCCTGTGACCTCTAAATGGAACAACAAAATGTGGGTAACAGCATATCTGTTTATAGCAGAGTTTACTGAACAGTTAAGTCCACTATTGAGACTTAGTGCTCAGATAAAAGGATTCCTTACAAAATATTGCTGCTTCATGACAATGCACCTAGTCACCCAAGTGCTTTGATGGAGATGTATGATGAGATTAATGTTTTAATGCTTGTTAACACAACATCCATTCTGCTGCCCATGGATCAAGGAATAATATTGACTTTCAAGTCTTATTATTTTAAAAATATATTTAATTAGGATATCATTGCCATAGATTGTGATTCCTCTGATGGATCTAGGCAAAGTAAATGGAAAACCTGGAAAGAATTCACCATTCTAAATGTCATTAAGAATATCTGTGACTCTTGGAAAGAGATCAAAATATCAACATTAACAGGAGTTTGGAATAAGTTGATTTCCAACCTTCATAGATGACTTTGAGGGGTTCAAGACTTCAGGAAAGGAAGTCACTGCAGATGCAGTGGAAATATCAAGAGAACTAGAATTAGAAGTGGAGCCTAAAGATGAGCTGACTGCTGCAACATCATGATAAAACTTTTTAGTGGATAAAGAGTTGCTTCTCATGGATGAGCATAGAAGGTGGTTTCTATTCCTGATGGAAACTATTCCTGGTGAAGATGCTGTGAACACTGTTGAAATGACAACAAAAGATTTAGATTATTACATACGCTTAACTTATAAACAGCATCAGGGTTGAGAGGATAGACTGCGATACTGAAAGAAGTTCTGTTACAGGTAAAATGCTATCAAACAGCACTGCATGCCACAAAGAAATCTTTCATGAAAGGAAAAGTCAATCAATGCAGCAAACTTCATGGCTGTCTTATTTTAAGAAATTGTAAGAGCCACTCCAATCTTCAGCAACTACCACCTTGATCAGTCAGCAGCCATCAACATCAAGGCAAGAACCTCCACCAGCAAAAAGATTACAACTCACCAAAGGCTCAAATGATCATTACCATTTTTAGTAACAAAAAATGTATTTTTAAATAAAGGTGTCTACATTGTTTTTGTAGATATAATGCTATTGCACACTTAATAGACTGCAGTGTAGTATACATATGAGTTTTATATGCACTGGGAAAGCAAATTGTGTGACTTCCTTTATTTAAATTTTATTGCGGTGGTCTGGAACAAAACCTGCAATATCTTCTAGGTATGCCAGTACCACCTTAGCGATGTTAAATACCTATATCTATGTTGTCTAGGATCTATCCCGTCAAGTATCCTATGTACTATTCTAAACCAATTCTTCAATTATTTTAAATCAGCAAGTAAATTTATCTTTGCTGAAAATGAGGAAAGATGGTTATTGTGAAATCAATCAGATGGAACTTGACCTGAGTAGGCCCTTAGATACAATTTTGAGAAAGGCATAACTAGCTGCAGATAAGAAGTACAAGGTAAAGCCAAAAAAAGACTGCAAGAATTCACTAGAATAGGTAAACACTGAAGTCAGGGCAGTCAACAGTTCTGCTTGGATGATGACACAGTTCTGAAGGGTGACCCAAGTGATTTCTGCAATAATAACTTCCATGGATTCAACTTAGATACTTTAAGCATGCTATCAAAAATTCAAATATTCAAAAAATGTATGACAAACATAAAAAGTTTGAGAGGCACTGATCTTATATCTTTGTATCACCTCAAAGCCCAAAACTTTTTTTTTTTTCTTTAAGACACAGGGTGTCACTCTATCTCCCAGGCTAGAGTGAAGTGGCATGCTCATGGCTCACTGTAACCTTGAACTCCTGGGCTCAATCCCATCTCAGCCTCCCAAATAGCTGAGACTACAGGTGTGTATCACCACACCCAGCTGATTTTTTTATTTTTTTGGAGAGAGGGAGTCTTGCTGTGTTGCCTAGGCTGGTCTTGAGCTCCTGGGCTCAAGTGATCTTCCCACCTTGGCCTCCCATAGCGCTGAGATTATAGGTGTGAGCCACCATGCCCAGCCCCAAAATGTATCTCGTTAATGACTACCTAAAAGTTAGCATCTTGGCATTGATTAGAAAATTGAACCCTGAAAAGAGCTCAGCACCCTCAACCAACTTGCTTTGGACATCTGACATTTTAAAAGAAATAAAAACATGTGTATCAAGGAACCGCCATATATATTTTCTAACTTCTATATATATATTAAGAAAGATAAAGATCAGAAGACAGCAATAAAACCAACCTGTAATTTCTCAGCATCCAGCAGGAATACTTTAACTGAAACTTAATAACATGCTCTCAGCTTATACAAAGGTTCAGCGTAAGACTCTCCACTTGAGTAATGGTTCTATGTGTTTAGCCAAACCATGGTTTAAAAGGTCCTTTATTATGTTACCAACAACCTTTATATGAATATTTCATGGATCATAAAATATTCATGCATCCCAATTCTGTATGTCCAAATCTTACCATCCTTCAGGGTTCAATTCAAATATCAATTTGTCCATGAAGCCCTCTCTGAGTCTCCTAGGTAGATATATCTTACTCTTGAGCTTGTCCTCCTACTATGCTTACTACTTTCTACATCATATTAAATAAGAACTTAGGGGAGGGCATTTTATTGATCATTTGCTATGTATCAGACACTGTGCTAATAAGCACAATACTAAGGGTTATTATCATATGTAATCTTCATATCAATCCCATCATTATCCTTATTTGAAAGATGAGAAAACTAAGTCCAGAGATGCTGACTTAACCAAAGTCACATGGCAAATAACTGGCAAATAGGTCTGGGCTCTGGTTTGATTCCAAAGTCTACATTCTCCCCGCCACACCACAGTGCCTTCCAAAACAAGAGAACTTCCCTCTCAGGAGACTAATGTCTACTTATTTATTAAGTTTTGTGAAATATTTCTAAATATCCAATACTTACTTGAATTTAAACCTAACAAAATGTGGTATCTGTCTCCCAAGAGGTTATTATTATTTACAAGGCAATTCAATAGTTATATTAAAATACAAGTTATAACAGTCTAGTAGTATAGACTATGTTCCCTGAGGTCAAGAGTCATATTTTTTTCTTTTTTTTTTTTAACTTTTAAGTTTGGGGGATATGTGCAGGTTTGTTATATAGGTAAACTCACATCATAGCAGTTTGGTGTATAGATATTTCATCACCCACATACTAAGCTAGTACCCAATAGTTATTTTTTTCTGCTCCTCTCCTTTCTCCCACCCTCCACCCTCAAGGAAGCTCCAGTGTCTGTTGTTCCCTTCTCTATGCTCATGAGTTCTCATCATTTAACTCCCGCTTATAAATGAGAACATGCAGCATTTGATTTTCTGTTCCTGCATTAATTTGCTAAGGATAATGGCCTCCACCTCCATCCATGTTCCTGCAAAAGACATGATCTTGTTCTTTTTTATGGCTGAAGAGTATTCAGCCATAAAATGTGGTATATGTGTACCACATTGTCTTTACCCAATCTGTCACTGATGGGCACTTAGGGTGATTCCATGTCTTTGCTATTGTGAATAGTACTACAATGAACATTCGCATGCATATGTCTTTATGGTAGAATGATTTATATTCCTCTTATACTCGGTAATAGCATTGCTGGGTCAAATGGTAATTCTGTATTTAGCTCTTTGAGGAATTGCCATACTGCTTTCCACAATGGTTGAACTAATTTACACTCCCACCAACAGTGTATGTGTTCCCTTTTCTCCACAACCTCACCAGCATCTATTATTTTTTGACTTTTTAATAATAGCCATTCTGACTGGTATGAGATGGTATCTCACTGTGGTTCTGATTTGCATTTCTCTAATGATCAGTGATACTAAGCTTATTCTCCTATGCTTGTTGGCCACATGTATGTCTTCTTTAGAAAAGTATCTGTTCATGTTCTTAGCCTACTTTTTAATGGACTTTTTTTTTGTTTTTCTTTTAAATTTAAGTTCCTTATAGATACTGGATATTAGACCTTTGTCAGATGCACAGTTGGCAAATATTTTCTCCCATTTGGTAGGTTGTCTGTTTACTCTGTTGATAGTTTCTTTTGCTGTGCAGAAGCTCTTAAGTTTAATTAGATCCCATTTGCCAATATGTGCTTTTGTTGCAATTGCTTCTGGTATCTTTGTCATGAAATCTTTGTCCATTTCTAATGTCCAGGATGGTACTGTCTAGGTTGTCTTCCAGGGTTTGTAATGTTTTGGGTTTAACATTTAAGTCTTTAATCCATCTTGAGTTGATTTTTTTATATGGTGTAAGGAAAGGGTCCAGTTTCAGTCTTCTACATATGGCTAGTCAGTTATCCCAGCACTACTTGTTGAATAGGCAGTCCTTTCACCATTGCTTTTGTTGGCTTTGTTGAAGATCAGATGGTCGTAGGTGTGCAGCCTTATTTCTGGGCTTTCTATTCTGTTCCATTGGTCTATGTCTGTTTTTGTACCAGTACCATGTTGTTTTGGTTACTGTAGCCCTGTAGTATAGTTTGAAGTTAGATAACATGATGCCTCCAGCTTTGTTCTTTTTGCTTAGGATTGCTTTGGCTACTAAGGCCTTTTTGGTTCCATACGAATTTTAAAATAGTTTTTCTAGTTCTGTGAAGAATGTCATTGGTAGTTGGATAGGAATAGCATTGAATCTATAAATTACTTTGGCCAGAATGTCCATTTTAATGATACTGATTTTTCCTATCTGTGAGTATGGGATGTTTTTCCATTTGTTTGTGTCATCTCTGATTTCTTTGAGCAGTATTTTCTAATTCTCATTGTAGAGCTCATTCCCCTCTCTTGTTAAGCTGTATTCCTAAGTATGTTATTCTTATTATGGCAATTGTGAATGGTGGCATTGTGTTCCTGATTACTGACAGTCCTTAAAACATTAGTATACAGACAGAGTTTAATAAATATGAAAATAAAAGCTCTTCTTGTCCAAGAAAATTATATTTCTTTCCAAAAATGAGAATCATGGACTTTTTCTATCCCCCTTAGCTAAAGTTAGGGCTCAAGTAGAATAATTAATTTAGCCAGGTGTTCAGCAATGTCTAATTCTCTGTTCCTTTCAATATTTTGTTTTTATTTTTCATTTTTCTAAAGGAAGAAGACAATGTCATAAAGCTTATCTAGTGTTTGTGGTATGGCCCATCCAATGAACAGAAAAATCATGTGAATCCCGGAACTTCTACCTAGCAGTAAACTCACTGATCTTCAGGGTGTTTCTTTGCAAAATCCAGGTAATTATACCTATTTTTATATGGTGAATTTCTAAAGCTTAAATAAGAATATTTATACAAAGTAGGCCAGGCACGGTGGCTCACACCTATAATCCCAGCACTTTGGGAGGCCGAGGCAGGTGGATCACTTGAGGTCAGGAGTTCCAGACAAGCCTGGCCAACATAGTAAAACTCTGTCTCTACTAAAAGTACAAAAATTAGCCAGACGTGGTGGTGCACAACTATAGTCCCAGGTACTTGGGAGGCTGAAGCAGGAGAATCGCTCATACCTGGGAGGTGGAACTTGCAGTGAGCCAAGATCAAGTCACTGCACTCCAGCCTGGGTGACAGAGCAAGACTCTGTCTCAAATAAATAAATAGATACAATATTTACAAAAAGTGCCAGACATACTGCAGGACTTAATAAAGGTTAGCATTCCCCACTCTAACAAATTATTTTAAATGCCTCAACCATGCCAAAGGATAGCAAGTTTACTTTAAATCAGCCATCTTCTCAAAAAGCCACTTAAAATGTTAAATGTTTCAAAGAAAAATAACATTATTTTTTAGTCCATTTGTCTCTATCAACAAAATATTATATCCCCTTTTGATACACATTCTTTCCCTACAAATAAAGCAGACAATGTGCTCTTTTAGAACTTTGGTTTATCTTTGTAAAGAGAAAATAATACAAGGCATTCACTGTGGCACTCACAGTCTGCTTTCTCTAAGGACAAGCCTGTCTATACACAACAGTCAGAAAAGCAAATGATCTGGCTGGAAGGGTTCCCTGAAAGAATGAAAACACATTCCTTAGCAATTATACTTTTAAATGAAAAGTCTGTCTTTATGACAACAGCAAGATTTAAATATGAAGGAAAAAACCATGAAGTAGCATATCCTTCAATTTTTCAAAGAGAAAACTAATGGCTTAACACACTTAGGTCCATTTTTGGCCAACGAATACATATTAAGAAAAGACTAGGTGCAGAGCATTCTTTCCTATGCAAGAGATGGGTGGGGAGAATATAAAAACTTTAAGATAGAATCCCTGCTATTTAGACACTTAAAATTTAGTGGAGGTTGAAAGAGGTGTTAGTCACTGCTGGCTAAGGTGCTCAGGAAAGGATTAACACAGGGCTGGGCCTTCTGTGATAAACAGAAAGGATTCTAGAGCTCTTATCAACAGAGGCTTAAACTAAACCTAGTTCATCCCCAATGTACTAAAATTAATTCCAACCAGTTGCCCCTTAATTATTCAGAATTCTCTCCCCTACTAGACAGTATAATTTCTTCCTTTTCTCTAGGTAATAAATTTATACACACTATAGGTAGATTAAAATTATCTTTTAAAAAATCACATAAATCTTTAGGAATGATCTTGAATGTGAAAATCTAAGTCTAACAAAATATAGCTTTTAAAATAACATTTACATGTAAACAATATGTGCCATGTTATCCATAGAAAGGAGTCATCATTACTGTTTGGGATGAAACATAATATAGTTGTAAACAGAGATTAAATGGTTTTACCAAGGCATTATTCAAATTGCATCCTTTATGTAAGAGGCCTTCAAGGCACAATCAATAAGTTAATGATTAAAATACATAAAACTGTAGAAGATAATCATCATCATAAAACTGTGTTAAAATAATGTTTAAGTGTTGATTTGTCAGAAAGGACCTATTAATAAAGACAGATTTTTATGGTACTATTCCTAGAAGGCCCATACATGGGATAGGGATGATTTGGGGAAATCATCTTGTCCCTAATTCCTTAGAGTAAGAATTTAGAAACTGTGGAAACACACTACTTGAACTCACATGTGGCCAAGGCAAAGCTTTGCAAGGAATAAGGAAGCAAAAAAGGAGGACAGAAAGTAGCCTTAAGTACTATGACACCCTTGAAATTCTAAAGACCACACTGCAGTGTTTCTGCAGTCGCAATATCACTAAAGAATAGGATACCAAACCTCAAAGCAAGTAATGGAGCCTCAAGGTTTACACAGTGAGTTACAGCAAGCATAACAGGAAACAAGAAGGGCAACGAAAGTGCATGCAATGTTGGCAAAAAAAAGAGTCCACCTTTAAAAATAAGTCCACCTTTAAAGACAGAAAAAATTGGAAATTTCCTAGAAAAACAGACTTCATGATCTCTTCTTGAATTACCTTGAGATCATTCTCATTAGTGAACATTATATTCAAATACACTAATTAAAATGACTATGTCCTGGATTCATGTTTTTTTAAATATAGATTTTTCAAGAGGCAATTTTAAGTATTTTTAAAACTAAAGGTAGAAATAAAAGCATTATTGTGATAAAACTCATATCCAAGAGAATTAATCTATATATGTATATCTTTCCTTTGTTGGTAAAGAGACATCAAAATATAATATAACCTAAAAACATCAACATAGAAAGCACACCTTATCTTCAAATTGGTTTAACAGTATTATTCTATCTAAATTACAAAGCGACTATATTTAAACAAATAAAAATCCCTTTAATCCACACATTTCCTGTGAAATGTCAAGCTTTTACTATTCTGACTTTATCCTTACATATGGATTTACTGAACAATATCACTTAACCACTATTTAAGCTAGTGACAATGGTATTGTTTCATATTTACTCATTCTGACAAACATTTTGCTTTTGAGTACACTGTCTAAATCTAATAGAATAAAATACAATTTATTTGCAATTTTTAAATATTACAGTGGAGAAAATCTGAGATGAATGTTCATCACAGTGTTGTTTTGAAAGACTACGGAAAACAAGGGGTTTCTTCGTACAAAAAAAAGTCTAAAAACTGCCAAAGGAAGGGGCAGAAAAGATAGGTGGAGAGAAACTATGTAGAAATATTTGTTTTTTTGAGGCTTACATGAAAATTCAAAGGGTAAGGATGGCATACAGGAATGCAACTGGAGAGCTAAAAAAATGTCTCAACCAATGCAAAGGAAAAGGAAATGAGAGGTTGAAATAAAAGGCCTTGAGGTCCAAAGATGTGGAGACAAACTAAAGCGTGTAGTAGGTAAGAAGATTAATTGTGCCCAAGACTCACACACCTTATTGTAGACATCATTCATTTCCCTGTGGAGTATCTTTCCAGTGGGGGATAAAAATATAGAAATTCTTTTGAGATTTTAGTAGAAAATCCTTTTCCCCTCTCTAAGAACTTGACTAAATCACAAGATCCTTGAGCCTAGGCATGATTAAGACAGTGTTGCTTTACTCAATCCTAGTAGGTAGGCCACAGGGATCAAAGACTTGAGAGCAAGGAAATCTGCCTTATCAGTCCTAGAGTCACAGACAGAGCCTGGTACCTTGTTTTAAATGACAGCCCCTCCAAAATGAAGGGTCTGAAACCACCTTCCTCACTGACAGCAGAGACGCAGTGAGCTTAGTGTAGGCCTCATGTAAGCCCAGGCCACCAAGCCAGTGCTTCTCACCTGACTTAAGCTACATTTGCCCAAGCCTCACCAATGGGAGTTGGCCTCAGCTTGTGCTGGTGCTCCACTGCCTCCTGCTGGCCTTCCCCGAACCCACTGACTTTTTAGCTAAATCTGGCTGCATTACAGCTCAAACCTCCACAGACTGAAATCATATCGAAAGGTTATAAGATCCAGGTTCTGTTAATTCTGAGTACACTTGGACAGTTCTCTTTGCCTCAAGTTTCTTCATTGTAAAATGGTGAACACTCAGACCTGCTATTCATATCCCACTAAGATATGACAAGAAAAATGCCAAGCCTAGAGTTCTTACATAAAACTTACGTTGTGGCAAAACATCATGTTTTTGTTTAAGCCTTCCATGACCACCCTATTTAAAACCACATCCAGGCACTAAACAGCATTCCCTATCTTCTGCATGAAAAAATTTCTTCATAGCAGTAATCACCAAGTAATATATCAATAATTCACTTACTTGTTTACTGTCTCTCCTCAACCAGAATGTAAGCTCCAGAGTTTTAATTTTTTTTTCTATATTGTTCACTGCTGCTATACCTCTAGTAGCTAGAAGACCGCCTGGGACATAGTAGACACTCCATGTTTGTTGAATGGATGAACAAAATACACTCTTTAAACAGTCCCCTAGGAAAAGGCAGGTTATGTCTGAGATAGTACAAAAGAAAATGACAAGCTTATTCTGGGATCAAAGTCGAAAAGCAATCTACTTCGTAGGGTGCCTAATCAATATCATCCTTATCATTCAAATTTTTTAAATCTGAGTTTTTGTGTCTCCTTCTCTGAACTTATTCTCAATTAAAAGGCTGACTTCACTTAACAGGTGACATTCTTATCAATACAGAACAGTAACCATCTAGATTTCCCCTTGAGTAAACATCCCTCTAGCCCTTTCCTGATTAGGATTCCTGCTTTTCTGATTGAGCTGCATACAACAACAACAATCGCACTATTAAAGCTATTAAACCCAACCATTCTCTGGGTCCCCACAACAGTTTAAACTTATATATTCTCTTACTATAAAGAGTAATGCGCACAGGCAGGTGCAAAATAACTGTTTGGTTATTTTTTTAAATAAAATAAAATCCTACTTTACATAGAAGTAAACAAACTGGAAAGATGGTTCAAAGTAATTTTTTTAAGTAAAAACAAAATAATAAATTCAACAAATATTTACAGGCAAAAGATGGGTGACAAACACACAACAGGTTGTTAAAGAAAGCCAAGAATATACTTTCCCCACACTTCAAGCCCCTGAGATTCCTAATCTTTATTAATAAATCTTCCAAAGAAAAATCCTTCAGTATCAGAAGTCTGACCCATTTTGGAGCTTATATGTACCCAATTTGTCCAGAGATATGGCCAATTAAAACATACTCTTGATATCTTAAACTGGCATCTTAAGAAGATACATATTTTATTGTATTTTCCCCTAAGAGTACCACATATATTAGCAACAAAAATTTGACCCACCTTTTAAAATGTTGAATAAAATGTCATTTTATTTTTTAATCTCATTTTAATATATCAGCATAATCCATAAGGTATCACTGGCAAAATGACATTTATAAATGAATGACAGAGTTGAAGTCTTCTATTTTTTATCTTATTTCCATAATTTAAGAATTAAAAAGTATTTGGAGTACAACATCAAGAGCAATTAAATTTACTAAAGCTAATTTTTGCCAGAATAGTGTTAGGAGAAGGATAATAACACCTGTTTTATTCTAATGATAGACTTAACCCAATACATAATTTAATTTGAATTTTGACTAGCTAGCCTCTTGACAATTCATGAAAGCAAGCCCAACCTGTTCAAGTTAATGTTTAAATATTAATTCTTATACTGTGTAATCTAGAATTGGTATTCCACATGCTATGGAAAGCATCAAGAGAAGAATTAAACCCTTAAAATACACATATCTTTATTATACACCAAAATATTTATAAGAGAGAATATAACAAATTTCACTGCAATCAAGCTTCAAAAATATGTTTTAGATGACTTGGTAGCTATTAAGGGTACCTTTAAAATTGCTGCCCAAAAATAATAATGACAAATATTAGACTATTTTTGCAAGAAACTTTTTTTTGAGGGGGGTTTAGGGGGGACACGGAGTTTCGCTCTTGTTGCCCAGGCTGGAGTGCAACGGCGAGATCTCAGCTCACCACAACCTCCGCCTCCTGGGTTCAAGCAATTCTCCTGCCTCAGCCTCCCGAGTAGCTGGGATTACAGGTATGTACCACCATACCTAGCTAATTTTGTCTTTTTAGTAGAGACAGGGTTTCTCCATGTTGGTCAGGCTGGTCTCAAACTCCCGATCTCAGGTCATCTGCCCGCCTCGGCCTCCCAAAGTGCTGGGATTACAGGTATGTACCACCATACCTAGCTAATTTTGTCTTTTTAGTAGAGACAGGGTTTCTCCATGTTGGTCAGGCTGGTCTCAAACTCCTGACCTCAGGTCATCTGCCCGCCTCGGCCTCCCAAAGTGCTGGGATTACAGGCGTGAGCCATAAGAAACTATTTTTTTCATTACATTCAAATTACTTTCCTAGGATCTCACTAACACGAACATTCAAACAAAACAAGCTTTGCTTTGAAAGAAAAACAAAAACATAGGCAATTAGAAAACTAATATTTGTGTCTAGAAGTTAACAGGTTTACAAATATATTGAGAAAATGTGACTGATATAGAATAACCCCTTTATCAACATTTTAAAATTATTCAATATTTCTTTAGTACATTACAGATTACATAGTATTTCGCATATATACTTAATTCTTTGCAATATTTTAGCAGACATTACTATTGTCCTCAAGAACGGAAAAATCTCTATTGTTAATTGTGTTCTCTTAAGTTTACATAGTTATCATTATCAGTGTCAACCTAAACACTAAGTCTAGTGTTCCTTCTGAGAGTACTGGGAGAAGTTCAGGGTTTGGAATAAAATAGACCTGGGTCTAACCCAGGTTTGATCATGTACCACCTTTGCTGCCTGAGGAAAACGCATTAAACTCTCCATCGAAGGAAGATAATATTTACCTCATGGTGGTGGTGTGAGATTAAATTAAACAGAAAACATAGGAAGAATTTAAAGCAGCATGCCTGCTTTGCTAACTCCTAAACCTGAATAAACTTTACCTTATGCCATCTCTGCTTTTGCTCTAAGGCCGTAAGACACTGCTAGAGAAAGCAACATAATAGTGCTGACTTAGCCAGTTACAAATTTATAGCCTAGTACTGTTTTCTCATTAGTAAACTCAACATAAATAATACTTATCTCCTAAGATTGTTTTAAGGATTCCATAAAATTGTGTATGTAGAATATTAGTTATAGTGCCTAGCATATGCTAGGAACTCAAACTGTAACCATTCTGTAGCTTAGCAATCTTTTTTTTTTTTTATTAATTAATGCCTTAGCACACTTACGGAAGGTGTTATTCTAGACTCTTCAACTTTCTTTAAGCCCTAAATACACCAAATCCTTCTGGTAAGCGATTCCCCTGCCTACTTTATTGGAAAGATGAGCAGTGGATGTGAGCTCCCACAGCTCTTCTTTCCACTTTTAAACACTCCTTTACCAATTCATAATTTTTCATATATCCATCAGGTGTGAGATAAACTAAACTCCTAATGCAATTCTTTCAGTCATTCAACAAATTTTACTGAGCATATACAATCTGTCAGTACCATCTCAAGTGCTGGGTATATCACGGTAAGAAAGAAACAAATTCTACACTCAGGGAACATCACATAGGAAACAGAGGTTCATATTATAATAATCACATAATAAATAAATGTTTTAAATTCTCTTTCCATCTCCTCAGGCCTTGTTTCCTCAAGTATTCTCAGCACATCCTCCATTTCCATGAGTTTTACTGCTCCTGCCCACCCCAACTTGAAAACCTTGCTTGGCACAGTCACCCTCTATACCTAGTATGCTCTATTTCTTTCCTGCCTGACTTCTTAAACTTTAGAAACACACACTCTATTCCCATCGCCTCCATTTTCTTGTATGCTAAGACCAGGAAATCTGGTTCCTGCTCTAACTTTTGGCACTCCTGCTCTAACTTTGGCACTCCTCAGAGAGTCCCCACAAGTAAGGAGGCTCTCAACAGATGCAGCCCCATGACCTGGGACTTCTCAGTCATAACTAGAAGAAATAAATTTCTCTTCTTTATAAATTACCCACTTTCAGATATTCTGTGATAAGCACTAGAAAATGGACTATGACAGGGTAGTAGTTAAAACAGTGGTTCTGAATCTTTAGTGTGCATCAATTTCATCTGGATGATTTGTTAAACCACAAATTGTGGGCCCTGACCCCAGAACTTGATTCTGAGACTCCACGTTTCTAACAAATTCCCAAATGATGCTGATGCTGAGATCTAGTGGTCCCTGAAATAAAAAATCCTAACAATAAATGTTTCATATACTCACATCCCATCAGCCAAATATTTAATCCTTCAGTAGTCAATTTTTAACAACACAAGTTTGTTCTAAGTCTTGACGAAAGCTAGATTCTGGAAGAAAAGATACGCTTTTTAAACAGTGCTAAATGTTCCTTGACCCAATTATAACAACATATAATAGACCTTAAGCATGCTGTCATCAAGGACAGAAACCACAGCTACAGAAAATGTGCATTATCAATGTTGTACTTAATATCCAATAAAACCAGCTTAAAGCAATTCAGAATAACAACACTATGAGCAATCTGACAGGACACATGCTTTGAATTTATTAGAAGAATTATCCAGTTCAATGTAATACTTAACAAAGCTAGTCGCCGAAGAGATTTAATATCCAAGTGCCAAGTAAAAGAATATTTTCATGGTATTCATACTTTAAATAGAGTTTTGTGCATGCTCTCACGTATAAGTGGGAGCTAAACATTGAGCACCCACAGACATAGAGATAGGACCAATAGACACGGAGCACTACTAGAGGCAGAAGGGAGGATGGACTGAAAAACTACCTATTGGGTACTATGCTCACTACCTGGGAGATGACGTCACAGCACAAAATATATTCAGGTAACAAACCTGCACATGTACCCCCTATATCTAAAATAAAAGTTGAAATTTTAAAAATAAAAAATAAATAAATAAAGGTTTGATTTTATATCTCTTGCACCCAGGGTGATGCTTTTTTCAGGTAGACAGGCTTGTAAATTATAATTACAACTAAGAAAAACATGAAAAACTTTACTCTGACTAATGAAATTTTATTTGTATAAAGCATAGGTGCATTTATTTCAGAAATACGGGAAATTATTTCAGGAATAAGACGTTCAAAACTTTAAATACTTCTTGTGAATCATTCACAAATCCAAAAAATCTGATTCAGCAACCTAAGTGCAATTTTCAAATTTCTCCATCCTTCACTGACAAGGGTTAACTCAAAGAGCTTTATTTTAACATTTTAAATATATCAATATTAATATTCAACAATTTAAGGATAAAAACCCTACATTATGAAACCAATGTTTTTTGGAGTAAGGTATACTGTGAAAAGCAATTGGTTTGCTATAAGATCATACAACAATGGAATGTTCTCTTGGAAATGGTTGATGTTTTAATACTAAAATCTCTATCCTCAAGTATAATAAGCATCTAAATAAAACAGTATTCAAATATACTGAGAAGGTAAATTTAAAAAGTCTGGAAATGGAGAATTTTAAATCACAACAGTCAAAACCACAACAATCCCAAAAACAGGTAATAAAAAGCCTAAGTGAACGAGAAATAAATGGAAGAATTATTACTGTAAAATTATTTTATTAAAATAATTATAAAAATAAAGAAAATAATGGAAGAGTTAACAATGTTTTGCCTACTTTCCCCTCATTCCTTGTTCACTGTGTATTCTTGCTGTCAGTTCTTTCTCAACTAATCCATGTCATTCACTTTCTCCAAATCTTAATTCAAGATTGGTCTCTAACACGATCCACTCTAATAACTATCTTACTCCACATCACCTTAATAATAACTTTCCTTTTTACCATCGTGTTTTGGAACTGTTTTCCAATTCCTTCGTTCTCAATTAAACTATAACCAAGTAGATTAAAATTTTTAAATTTACTTTAAAGCAAAATAGTTTCTTAAAAATCAATGTTGGCCTATATAATCAGAAATCCAAAGTTAGGTGAAATTAATTTGAACCAAGTGGAAACTTTACTCATACTATTTTCTGCTTTTCAGTAAACCTGCATAGCATCCAACATTCATTATATTATTTTAGTAAATATTCAAAGTTGTGAAACTACACATATTTGACTAAATTCCAGTTATCAATTGACCCTATCCTGGCTGACAGGATCCTGGTTGGCACCTACCTACCCAACAAGACCAGTTCCTACTGGCCTACTAATTCAATCTATCTTTAGTAATTAGGCTAAAAAATCTATGTCTCCAGACTCCCCTCTTGCCACAATTACACTGGTACAGTTCAGGTTCCTACCACCTACAGGATGGACTACACTTTAAGGTCCTTTAAAGTGTTGTCCCTTTAACATGAAATTCCCTTCTTTCTCTGTCTGTACATTTGTATTTATCTGGTTTTTCCAAATAAATTTCTTGGAAGACTCTCATAAATAAGGTCTTGGAGGGGCCAGGCATGGTGGCTCACGTATGTAATCCCAGCATTTTAAGAGGCTGAGGTGGGCAGATCACCTGAGGTCGGGAGTTCGAGACCAGCCTGATCAACATGAAGAAACCCCACCTCTACTAAAAATACAAAAAAATTAGCCAGGCCTGGTGGCACATGCCTGTAATCCCAGCTACTTGGGAGGCTGAGGCAGGAGAATAGCTTGAACCCATGAGGTGAAGGTTGTGGTGAGCTGAGATCACGCCACTGCACTCCAGCCTGCGCAACAAGAGCGAAACTCCATCTCAAAAATAATTATAATAAATAAAATAAGGTCTTGGAAAGTCTTCATAAATAAGGGCTGTTTCTTTTATTTCAGTATCTTCAGAATGGTACATGTTCATGATAAACACACAATAAAAATCGGCTGAATGATCTATGCCAAGTAGATGGAATATGTACATATGTATGTATCTAAGTATATACATATACACACAAATATATTTCTCTGTACTTTTTATAAGAATCGTAATATGATACTATGTTAAATATTTGTATATTTGTATATTCTACCAATCCATATTTTTATTTAGAAAAATACATGGACGACAACAAATTTGATTCTGGGAATCTATATTTCTAACAAATTCCCAAATGATGCTGATGCTGAGATCTACTGCTCTTAGAAATAAAAAAGCAACTAAAATGACTTAAATTCTATAACTTGTTAGAAACAGCTCTATCTAAAAAGAACCAAAACAGATAAAGATTATTTTTTCTCATATCAAAAGCCAAACTTTAAAGATTTGGTAGAATTTACCATGTATTCAGCAAAATATAAATAAATAATATCTATGAACATGTATGAGAATTTATTTCTATGTAAATAATATGGAAATTTCCATGTATTAGTTTATTCAATAAACATTTATTGAGTGCCTGCTATGAGTCAGGCACTGTTCTAGGTGCCTGAACATGCAGCAGTCAACAAGAAAGACAAGATACCTGCTTTTATATAGTTTACATTCTAATTGTAGGATACAGATAATAAATGAATAAATAAGCAATAAATATAAGGTAGCCATAAGCACCCAAAATTAAAAGAACATAAGCTGGTAGCAAATAACCAATATCATTTATTGGAATATATATGCTAGCCGGAAAATAGTTTCAAAAGGCAAGAAAAATAATCCAAACTAGTAACTCTGAATAACTGTTTTATAGACAGATGGCTAATTTTTACGTATATAGGACTGACTTAATACATCTGACAGAGCAGGAGCATTGCCGTCTTGGACAAGCACCGTCATTTTAAAATTTACGTTGATCAAAAACTGCCTAAATCCAAAGGGCATCAGCTTAATGGCTAAAGTCAGCATGACCATAAACCACAAATAACATCTGTGACCAGAAACACACCAAACCCCTCCCTGACCAGAGACATGCCAGCCCCGACATAACCTCCCCTCCAGCTGGAGAGATGTCAGCCCCAACATAATCTCCTCTCCGACCAGAGACATTCCAACCCTGCCATAAACTTCTCCCCCACACAGAAACATTCCAAGCTCTCTCACCAATAAATACTCTCAGTCTGTAAGAGACAGCATTACTGACCAAACTCGGCCAGAAGCCCCACTCAGGTTTATTCTCCAAAATAAACCTGTCTTTGACTGTTGAGCTGCTTTTTCATGTTTCTTTCCTCCTTCTTTAAGTCTTACAACATCAAATTCCTAATAAAAAAATAACAGTGAGCATCAGAACCTTAAGCTGCTTCCACAATCCATTATTACTACTCAAAAATGTTTATAACAGAAATTATGTGCATTATAACACAAAAACTGCTTAACCTTAATAAAAGGTATCTGAGACACAATACTTTAATATTTATACTTTGGATGACAGTTACAAACACTAATACAGGTGTAAATTATTTTAGAATACAGACAACACATTCCCCTCCAACATTAAGTATAACATTAGTTTTAAAAGCAAAGTGTTAAAAAAAAATGCCTGCAACAAGCACAAGTAAGTAAAGATGGGAGGAAGAGACAGATACCAATCAGGCAGTCAATTCAAGAACAGAGCTGCGTTCGAAGTTAGGGTAAAGAAATATTTGGTTCCAGGCAGTATATCTAGGAAAGGTAGTTGTAGCTGCAGAGTTAGAGCTCAAAATTGCTGGAGATATTATACCAGTCTCTGCTGACTCAAAAGTACTGGCTAAGTACCCAAAATATTTGCTCAGACTCACATAGCAATGTATCCCAAATAAGTCACAATGAGGACACAAATATTAAGAGAAAGAAATCAGACATTATGATCATTTGGGAAACAATAGTACAGAAAAATTCCAGTTGAAATTGACTGTTACCACATCACTTTTCTTACACTGTTAGGACATAAGCTGTCCAAACAGAAGCTGTTATTTCAAATCATTCGAGCTGGGTTCAACACCCAAGTCCTTTAATTAACACTATAATAAATGTTTAACATCTTCTATAATCATCCTAAAAAATATCCTATAAGCAGTATTTTAAGCCAACAATTTTTATACCTCTTAAGAATATTTTTAATTGTATGTATCACTTAACAAATAGATACAATGGTTCAATTAGAGAATATTGTAATTTAGTATGCCTTAGTTTATTACATGTCATTGAAAAAACATGTAAACGATATAGTTGAGAAAAACATGAACATTTACAATACGGACTATGTAACAACAGAACACTAAATAGTCATAGAAAGTCAGAAATGTGTCTTATAATCCTTTAGTTAAAATAACATTTGCTGTAATTAATAAGCTAACAAAAATATAGACTATATGTTATCTAGAAAACTAAAAAAATTATTTATTTTCTTTTATAAGAATTTTTGAAAAAAGTTTGCATTGCAAAATAAAAATTCCATAATAAAAAAATTTAAACATACAAGTTAAAAGACTACTGATGATATTGCTACACAGGCTATTCCAGATGTACATAAAAGAAGGCAGGTCAATGAACAAGTGTCCAAGCCAAAGACTTAGTACTCAGGGTAAGAATCCATATAGGCTGGTGCAGCTGGTTTTCCCTCTCTACTTTGCTTTTTCTTCTCTCAGTTTACAGCACAAACCAAGCTAAAATGCTAGCTCAACTTCTCTCTTTTCACTTCAAAACAACCCAGCTCGCCAGCTGGGCATGGTGGCAGTAGCTCAGACTTGTAATCCCAGCACTTTGGCAGGCCAAGGCGGGTGGATCACCTGAGGTCAGGAGTTCAAGACTAGCCTGAGCAACATGGCAAAACCCCATCTCTACTAGAAATACAAAATTAGCTGAGCATGGTGGTGCATGCCTGTAATCCCAGCTACTTGGGAGGCTGAGGCAGGAGAATTGCTTGAACCCTGGGAGGCAGAGGTTGCAGTGAGCTGAGACTGTGCCACTGCACTCCAGCCTGGGTGACAGAGCGAGACTCTGTCTCAAAAAAAAACAACAACAACAACAACAACCCAGTTCTTGACTGGGCCATGAGATGCCCAGACATTTGGTCAAACATTACAGTGGGTGTGTCTGAGGGGGTGTTTCTGGATATGATTAACATTTGAATTGGTAGTTAAAGTAAAGCAGATTGCCCTACCTAATGTGAATAATTCTCAACCAATCAGTTGAAAGCCTAAACAGAACAAAAAGCCTGACCTCCTGTGAGTAAGAGGGAATTTCCTTCTGTCTGACTTCCTTAAACTGGGACCTCATTTTTTAAACTGAAACATTGACTCTTCCTGGGTCTCGAAGCTGTTGGCATTTGAGCTGGAACTAAAGCTGACCCTTGAACAACACAGAGATTATAGGCAACAACCTCCACCCCTCACCCCATACAGTTAAAAATCCATGTATAACTTTTTATTCCCCAAACACTTAACAACTAAAACCCTACTGTTGACCATAAGCCTTACCGATAACATAAACAGCTGATTAACACATATTTTGAATATTACATATATTCACTGTATTATATATATTCACTGTAACCTCACAATAAAGTAAATTGGAGAAAAAAAACATTAAGAAAGTCATAATAGTCCAGGCACAGTGGCTCGCACCTGTAATCCCAGCACTTTGGGAGGCTGAGGCAGGCAGATCACCTGAGGTCAGGAGTTCAAGACCAGCCTAGCCAAAATGGTGAAACCCCGTCTCAACTAAAAATACAAAAAGAGAAAGAAAGTCATAAGAAAATACATTTACAGTACTGTACTACATTGATCAATACCATAAGTTTACATTATCTATTTACAAGATGAACCATCTGTCTGAAATAGCAGTCAACCTTAGCTGGAGACCTCAATCTATATTACATATCAAGCAATTCAACTTTTTCTTGTAATATCATTACTTTTCTCTGATTTGGGGAAGCATTTCCAGCATTACTAGTGACACTTCCTATGAGCCCCACGGTGTTATTCAAGGTTTATGATATTGCACTGAACACGATGAAAAATACCCGAGAACTGTGAGAGATCACTTTACTGTAATATACAATTTACTGTGCAAACTGCTTACGCTGAGATGATTAGCATCACAGAGCGTTTTAAGCAGATACTTGCAACACTTATAGGCTCACCACAATAGCAACAGGGTGGGGCTATTAAATTACTATAGTAGCACAGAATGTGCTACAGTTAATTTTATGTAGGTTACTGCATAAAAGATAATACTGCATCTTTACATTTGTTTACATTTCTCTCTACTGGGAATAGCACCATGTATGGTCTGTACATTTGTGTGCATGTGTTTTGATAAATTTTAACTTTTTGCAATAAATTTCTGTATATCTCATGTTAGTAAATAAGACTAGTATATATTTTATACATTCATATATACTTAATTTTTTCTTACTTTTTTTGATATTTCTAGGCTATGTGGTTCATCTGCAAGTTTTTTCGAATTGTTGCATATCCCCAGAAAATTTTCCAATATACTTATTGAAAAAAATCCACATATAAGTGGACCCATGCAGTTCACACCTGTGTATTTCAAGGATCACCTTGTACACTATCATTCTTCTGGTTTTCAGGCTTTTGGATTCAGGCTAGAACTACAACATTGGCTCTCCTGGGTCTTCAACTTGCCAACTGCGGATCTTGAGACTTGTCAACTTCCATAACCCCCATCTCTCTCTCTATCTCTCACTCTGTGTGTGTGTGTGAGAGAGTGTGTGTATGTCTGTGTGCATGTGTAAGTGATAGAAAGACAGACACACACACAGTTCCATTTCTGTGGAGAACCCTAATATATCTACCTACTTAAGACATCAAATTCCTAATAAAAAGATCAAAAACTGTTTTAAATTAATAATGCATAATGATGTCAATGGCAGAGCAAAATTCTCACATCGCTTGAAGAGGGTCTAATTTAAAACCTTTCTGAACAGTCATTTCACAGCATGCATTAAAACTTTAAAATTGTGTGTAGTTTCCTTTTTTTTTTTTCTTGAGATGGAGTCTTGCTCTGTCACTCAGGCTGGAGTGCAGTGGTGCGATCTCAGCTCACTGCAACCTCCACCTCCCAGGTTCAAGTGATTCTCCTGACTCAGCCACCCCAGTAGCTGGGATTACAGGCACCTTCCACCATGCCCAGTTAATTTTTGTAGTTTTAGTAGAGACGGTATTTCACCGTGTTGGCTAGGCTGGTCTTGAACTCCTGACCTCAGGCGACCCACCTGCCTCAGTCTCCCAAAGTGCTAGGATTATAGGCGTGAGCCAACCTGCCCAGCTGTGTGTAGTTTCTTATAATTTTATTTCCTGGTGAATGCATATATATATATATACACACACACACACACACACACACACAAAGAATATAATCAAAACTATAATCAATTATCTATGTCCACAGGATATTAGCTATTTGACTCTGTTATTTATATTAGTAACATATATAACAGAGTCAAATTAGACACAACCAAATGTCCAACAATAGGAGAATGATTAAACAAATTACATCACTTTCAAAGGATATATTATGTAACTCATTAAGATATTTTCAAAGATTGGTCAAAAATATGGAAAAATAATCATAATATAATGACAATTTTTAGAATGGTGAAAATCAGTGGTGTTTAGTTCTGTAGACTAGAGTAAAAGGCTACAATGTTGACAGTGATTATTTCAAATTGGAGGATAACAGGTGAATTTTTCTGTATTTTTTATATTTTCTATAATTAGAATAAATTACCTTTAAAAAAATATAAAAAACATTATCCAAAACTGCTCAAAGAAAATCCTATTAAATGACTTCATTAAGATTCTATGGATAATTGTCGATGAAGACAGTTTTTAAAACAAATCTGAAAAAACTGTAACAGCTTTTTATAATGTTATTTTTAAAAATCTAAGCTTTTTAATAAAGTATATAGCTACAGACATGAGCTGAATTGTGATCTCCTAAAAGTCATTTGTTGAACCCCCTAACTCCAAATCCAACTGTAACTGGAGATAGGGCCTCTAAAGGGATAATTAAGGTTAAATGAGATCAGATGAGTGTGGGGCCCTAATCCGGTAAGACTAGTGTATTTATAAGAAAAGGAAGAAACACCAGGCATGCACATGCACAGAGAAAAGGCCATGTGAGCACAAAGCAAGAAGAAGGCCACCTGTAAGCCAAGGAGACAGGCCTCAGGAGAAACCAAATCTGCCAATACTTGGATCTTGGACTTCCAGCCTCCAGAAGTGTGAGGAAATACACTTCTGTTTTTTAAGCCAACCAGTCTGTGGTATTTTATTTTGGCAATGCTTGCAAACTAACATAAAACATAATAAAGTACTATAAAATGTACCTGGTAAATATTCTTTCTTCTATAATTTACTTTTAGGAGGCAGCAAATCAAGAAATAAACAGTAAAAAATGGTCTTCATACCACAGTGTCATGGCATAGAAGGGGCAAGAAATCATATTTCCAAGTAAAATGTTATTAGCTGGCACTATTAAAGAGAAATAAGGCATAGGATTGGGAATATAAGCACTGCAGATAGGGTTTTTAAAAAGTTGTTCAGGTTTATAGTAATTATTGTCCATCTAAAAATGTTCTATAGGCTAGGTATGATGACTCAGGCTCACAGCTGTAATCACAACCCTTCAGCACGCCAAGGCAGGAGAACGGCTTGAGCCCAAGAGTTTGAGACCATCCTGGGCAACATAGTGAGACTCTATCTCTACAAAAAATTAAAAAAAGAAAAAAATTAGCCAGGCATAATGGTGTCCACCTGTGGCCCTAGCTACTGGGAAGGATGAAGTGGGAGGATCACTTGAGCCCAAAGGTCGAGGCTGCAGTGAGCCATGATTGCACCATTGCACTCCAGCCCAGCCTGGGCAACAGAAGAACACCCTGTCTCGAAAAAAAAAACAAAAGTTTATAAAAGATTCTGCATAACATAATAGAAAATATTTTAAATTGTTTCATTTTATTTGTTCATGATATCTCCCAGTGCTCAAAACATTATGTGCATATGTATAGACACACATACATTCCTACAGATATATAACTCTGAAAGCAATTTCAGTCTTATAATTACTACTGGCAGTATACCTACAAAGGAAAACATTCCTTTCCCAATCTTTTATATTAGATTAATATGCAAGTTTCTTTTTATCTAAACTGAATTGTCAACACATTTATCCTTTTAGAATTTTCAACTACACTGCAGGGAGCATATTTTAAAAAAAAATAGACCGTTTCATTTTCAGAGCAAATTAAAATATCAGGTACCACTCTGATATTTTTTTTCAAAATTACCTTGTCTGGATCCATCTTTCCTTTGATAAATTCTTGCTTCCAGAACTACAATGCCTGTTCCAAAGTTAAACCAATGCCCTTCAGAAATAGGTCATACTGCATTCGGCCTCAATGACGAAGATGGTGATTTTTCCCGCAAGGCTTTATGTAACTGACGCATGCAAGGTGGGAAGGATTTGGTAGAAAGCTACAAGAAAAAACAGTAGAGTTTTAAGTTAAGTGGAAGACTTATCAGGTCCCCTGTAATATTTGTTATGGTTGCTAATTCAATGTAATTGGAATAAAAAAACAAACACCATAAGAAAGTGCCACTTTATTACTGTGGTTACAGATGACTCTTATCTGTATAAGATGTTTCTTATTAACATTTTTTATTGGTTACAAGTTAATATAATATTTTAGATACTTTGGATTAAATAACATACTATTAAAATTTATTTTACCTGTTTTTTTAATTTAATTAAACTTTTTCTTTGAAGTTAACTATAGACTCCCATACAGTTACAAGAAATAATACAAAGAGATAGCATATATCCAAATTCCCCCAAAGATAAAATCATGTACAACTACAGTAGATTATCACAAACGGGATACTGACATTGATACAATCCACTAGTCTTATTCAGGTTTCCTCAGTTGTACTCATGCACTTACTTCCGTATTAAATTTTATACAGTTTTGTCACATGTAGGTTCATACATCCACCACCACAGTCAAGATGCAGAACAGTTCTGTCACCACAAGGATCTCTCATGATTTTATAACCACCCCCATCTATCTTTTGCACCCTGCTCCCCTCCCTCAGCTCCCTAATCTTTGGCAGCCACTGATCTGGTTCTCCATCTCTATAATTTTGTCATTTCAAGAGTATAATAGAATCATATAATATGTATTGTTTTGAGATTGTTGTTTTTTACTCAGCAGAATTCCCTCAAGATTCACCTAAGTTGTATATAAGCTCATTTCTTTATTACTAACTAGTTTTCCATGGTATGAATGTATCATAATTTATTTATTCACTCATTGAAGAACACTTGGGTTGTTTCCAGTTTGGGCTATTTCAAATGAAGCTATTATGAGCATTCTTTAAGAGGTTTTTATGTGAACATAAGATTTCATTTCCCTGAGATAAAAGTACAATTACTGAATAGCAGATGAACTTTTAAGATAACTTAAATACAAAGCAGAAGACAAAAATAAGAGAAACTTCTCATAAGGAAAATTCAAATAAGTATGTTAAAGAAACCAAGTTAAAAGGAACAAAGTGTAGTTAGTGCCTTAGTGCCAAAAATGAAATATCATTGCCTACTTTAATTTTTCACTTACAGTTTCAATTGCATTCTCTATGACTTCCTTAAATAACCTCCCAAGACTTAAATTCTTACTCCCTCACATATGCCTTAGCAAGTTCACTTCATCTATAAGAAAGAGCAGGTCTCACTTTGCTTGACTTTGTTGCTCCCTCTAGTGACCATCTAGTTTCTCTTCATTCTTTTACAGTAACAACTTCTGAATGTTTCCATCCCCAGTCTAGTTCATTCAGACCTATATCCTCCCTTGGTAGAACTAACTAGAAAGCCTTTCAGCTCATTTTCATGAGACCATTTTTGTTCCTTCATATTAATATCTGATTTTTTTCTAAACATTGTTCTAATCCATACAATCAATATTCAACATCCTTAGTATGAACATGCAAGGTTTCCTCAATATCTGGTAACTACTTTTCTTTTTTTTTCTTCTTTTTTTATTTTTTTTGAGATGGAATCTCAGTCTGTTGCCCAGGCTGGAGTGCAGCAGTGCCATCTCAGCTCACTATAACCTCTGCCTCCCAGGTTCATGCGATTCTCCTGCTTCAGCCTCCTGAGTAGCAGGGATTACAGGTGCCTGCCAACATGCCTAGCTGATTTTGGTATTTGTAGTAGAGACAGGGTTTCACCATGTTGGCCAGGCTGGTCTCGAACTCCTGACCTCAGGTGATCCTCCCACCTTGGCTAGATGGCATGACCCACTGTGCCTGGCCAATAACTACTTTTCAATTATACATAACAGAACAATTATTTATTAAGTGTTCTGGAAAATAAGCTGGGACCTAATTGTCCCCTTTAATTCAGTTAAGGAAAAAGACACAACAATTATTATATTCACTACTATGTAAGTTAAACACATGAAATAAATGATAAAAGGAGGGCTCCAACAAGGGCAAAACTTGAGCACCACAGAAGCACTGTGACAGGGAGCCTGGGAAAGCCCAGTATATTATCACTACACCAAAATGAGTCCTCGGCTCCAGTCCACTGGATTATTCACTATCCCATGACCACACAGTCATGCTCTGTAGCTTCTCAATTTTCTCACTCTGCTAGCCCTGCCTGGCGCACCCTTCTCATGCACATGCCATGTAGCCAAAGCCAAGTCATCATTCAAGACCCAACTCAATTTCTATTTCTTTTGGCACATTCCTTGATTACTTCTTATTCATTCAATCAACAAATATTTATTTAACACTTACTATGTGTACAGCCCTGGGGAACCAGTAGTGAACAAAGAAGTCAAAAACCCTGTCCTCGAAGAGCTTATTTTTAATAGGAGGAGACGGACAATGAATACAGACATTAAAAAGATAACATCTGATGCCAAAACACTGGAAGTGAAATAGAGAAATGAAATCAAGTGTGATTAGGGGAGAAGTACTTCAATTTGGGTGGCCAGGGAAGCCTTTTTGAGGAGATGGCATTTCAAGTAAGACAAAGTAAGTTGGATGCTAGTGAAATGAAGATCCTGAGAAGGAATAAACGTGGTGTGCTAAAAGAGAACATAAGATCCATGTGACCAGAGCAAGTGAGTGAGCCGGAATGGAGCAGAAGATAAAATAGAAATGATGAGCACATATGGCTTCAGAGGCCTCAACATGAGTTTGGATTTAAGTCTACATATGATGAAAACCCACTAGAGGGTTCTGACCAGAAGACTGATGTGATTCAATAAACAAAGAGAACTCTGGCTGTTATGTAGTGAAAAGACTGTATGAGAGTAAGAACGGAAGCAGGAGGGATACTTAAGAGGTGTGGGCAGTAGTCCAAATAATAAAAATTAAAAAGATAGTGTCTGGCTATATACAGATAGAAAAATGATCATGGAAAACAAGCAAACAAAAGAATCATAAGTCCAGGATAGGGGATAAATTATCAACTTGGATCTTGCAGAGGCCAAGAACAATAATAAGAATAGCGCCAGTACACAAGACCATTAGCTAGGTGTTCAAATCATCAACGAATACAGGTGTGGGGGGAGGGGGTGGAATAGCAACAAAGGAGGTATCAGATGATATAATAAGATCACAAGGGCTTTAAAGGAGCTGGAACTGTAACAATGGAAGGCAGAGAAATGTGGACCAAGAAAGACACTCACCGCATACCTATATACGAACTCGGGGGGGAAAGTTGTCTCTACTTGAAGAGGCCCACAGGGGAAACAGCATTGAGAAAGCCAGATTTGTTAGAAGAAAAAACTAAAGAAAACATTTGGAGAAGAGTTGCAAATACCAAGGGATATGCAAATGACATGCTGTTGTGAAGATCAAACAATATAGATACAGAGTTAGGAGGCAGTCCAAAAAAAGATACATCTGTATTACTCACCACGGGGTCTCAGGAACAGACCCATAACAGGATCATCATCATAGCACTTAACATTATATTGCTCATTATTTATTATGTTGTCCCTCTCCCTCATGTAAGGTCCATGAAGGCAGGGACATTTTCTGTTTTCCTCACTTCTGTATCCACAGCACAATGGCTGCTACATAACTGATGGGCTCAATACATATCCATTAAATGAATTAATATTTCTATGAACTCCAACAGTATCCAACCAAATTCACATTTGCTTGTGAATGGGGAAACATCTAGCTAGAACTAAGAACAGAATTAACCTCCAACCATTCACATTATATAAGCACAAATCACATGAGTGGAAGTGAGAAAGGGGACTGTTAGAGATAAGTGTTTAATAAAAAAATTAAAAGATGGGACATCTTTGAGAACAAATTTCAAATCAACAAATCAACTGTGTAAAGTAGGCAACCCTATTGTTATTTCTAGACATATTAACTGCAAGTACTTTTTTGTAATTTTTCAAATGGAAGATGACCTATTCATTCTGATCCAACCTCACGGTCTTTCTCTATTAGTCTTATTACAGTTCTTGTTTCCAAGCATTAAAATCCCTGTGTATTTTTAATTTATTGTGAATAATTTGGTAGTCGTCCAACCCAAGATTATTTATGGCTGGCTTATTTTCCCTTTGTATATGGAGTGCAAATGCTGTTATGTATTAAAGAGAAATTCTACAAGTATGGCAAAGTACACTACCCTATGGAACCACAAAGTCAAATGATGCTAAAATAAGCTACCTATTAATCTCATAGCCTACACTAGTTGATGAATTGTCCTCTCCCCCTGAAATTCATATATCAAGTCCTGACCTCTAGTAGCTCCAAATGTGACTATATTTAGAGATGGGGCCTTTAAAGAACTCATTAAGATTAAAGGAGGCCATGGGGGTGGGGCTCTGGTCTCACATACTCAGTGTCCTTACAAAAAGAAGAGACACCAGGGATGTATGCAAGCAGTGGGAAAACCACAGGAGAACACAAGGAGAAGGCAGCCATCTGTGAGACAAGAAAGGCCCTGGAAGAAATCAAACCTACTATCTCTTTGATCTTGGATTTCGAGCCTCTAGACTGTGAGAAAATAAATTTCTGTTGTCATGACAGCCCCAACAAACTAATACACTTAGTGTTTTCCATTTCCCCTTTATTAAATGTATGCAGTATTTAAATGTAAACACAAACTCCATTTAGCTATTTAAAAGAATTCCTGTTTGGAATAGTTGATTAAATTCGGTTTTCATAAAAGTACAGATAATTTTCTGATTAAATGATTTTCCTATGATTTTTTTAAAATCATATAAGTAGGACATGGGATTTTCTTTAAAATTAATCAGCAAGCAGTGAAATAGTATTCTATCTCCTCACCCAAAAGTCTTTGATTTAAGAAAATCTATGTTCTCTCCACTGATAAAGTTCTAAGTTTAAAAGAATGTTCTACTTACCAAATCAATCTGATCTAAAGAAATTTTCCCAACATTTCCCTGGGTACTGTAATCTTGGCCAGTGTAGGAATGACTTTAAAAAAAGAAAAAAATATATTAAAACAGATTCACAAAATACTTTTGATCCCTTTGAAGGAAATTTTTAAAATTATGAATATGATTAAAATAAGAAAGCATTTTACATGTAAACCTTAGCAGAAACATAGCCAAGTGTTTTAAACGTATTTAATGAAATTAATTTAAGTAACTTACCCCAAAATAATTGAAAAATATAGTAACAGTCTGAACCTCCTGACTCCTAGTCTAGAGCACCACTTCCATTTTTTTAGAAGCATAATCCAAGTTGTTAAAGTTCAAACCTCTACCATTTATCCTTTATTAACAGCACGACAACATAGCAAAAAAGCAGCTGGAACTTAAATTGGGAATCATCACTTAAAAGTAGTAGGTGAGCAAGTTACTTAGTTACTCTCTGTATGCCAGGTGCCTTATTGACTAATGGCGATAATAATGCCTGCTTTGCAGTGTTGATAGGAGGTCTGAATTGTAAGAATTTTTGTTAAAGAGCCTGACATAAAGCAATCACTGTTTATTAAAATAAATAATATCTGAATAGCATTTTACAGTGTACAAAGAGTCCTCAATAGCCTCTAATTAGATCCTTGCAACACCCTGAAAGAGCGTTTCTGTATATCATTTGATGAATGGAGGCTTGGAGGAGTTAGAAACTTGTTAGGATCAGAAAGCAAGTCAGCAGTACAGTGGGAACTCAAACCTTTTGATTCCTAATTCCCCATTTTTTCACTGCACCATATCATCCTTTTCCCTATAATAAATTTTCCTGCATGATTATCTTCAAATTAAGAAACATAACTTGGTATATACTACCTTAAGCCACCCACCTCAGTAATGTTTCACCTCCTTCACACAACACACTACTCATGTCCAACTCCATGAACACAGACTCAGGTGCATGCAGGTGTGACATAGCAAAAAACAGCTGCTAGATTACATAGAAATTCACAATCAAACCAAAGATTATACAAATACCACAACTAAAGGGAAACCCTGGAGTGAAGAGTCATTATGATCATAAAGAATTCCACCGGGGCAACAGAGTAAGACTCTGTCTCTACAAATAATAAAAATTAAAAAAAAACAAAAACAAAAACAAAAACCTGGGCATGGTGGCATGCCTGTAGTCCTAGCTACTCTGGAGGCTGAGGTAAGAGGATTGCTTGAGCCAGGGAGATCAAGGCTGTAGTGAGCCATGATCATGCCTGAGCATTCGAGCCTAGGCTATAGAGCGAGACTCTGTCTCAAAAAAACAAACAAACAAACAAACAAAAAATCCAGATACTACTTTCTATCTGCTCAGTTACAGATTCTTCCTGCTGAACCACATATACGCTCAAGATGCTCTGTAGACAGGCTGTTGTTTCCATAATCAATCAATTTTACTGATTAAACAATGGGTATGGATTATGAAGCAAAACCACAATATAGCTGGCTCACACCTGTCATCCCAGCACTTTTGGAGGCTGAGGCAGGCAGATGGCTTGAGCCCAGAAGTTCAAGACTAGCCTAAGCAACAACATGACAAAACCTTGTCTCTACAAAAAATACAAAAATTGGCCAGGCGTGGTAGTGTGTGCCTGTAGTCCCAGCTACTCAGGAGGCTGAAGCAGTAGGATGGCTTGAGCCCAGGAGGTGTAGGATGCAGTGAGCTGAGATCATGCTCCACCCTGGGTGACAGAGTAAGACCTTGTATCAAAAAAAAGAAAAAAAAAAGGTACAGATTTCCCCTCCCTACAAGTCCTCCTTCTACAGGCTAAGAAGGACCTGAGAATTACTCTGAGAGCAGAATGGGTAGACTAATACTGAGGGAAACCAGAAGATGCCACCCCCAAAATATGAAGGATTACTGAGCGAAGGCAATTTAAGAAGAAGCAGATTCAGGAAAGCTCTCTGCCCTCCCTCTATCTGCCTAAAAGCAAAACACAGATTTACAAAGACAAAAGTCATCCTGCCCACCTTTTACCAGTGAGAACAAAGGTTGATCAGTGAAGATAACTTCAGATTCTTATTATGTGGAGATGATACCAGAGGAAACTATATGAACAAGCTTTACCAACTGGTCTTTATCTGCCATTTATTTGCCTTCTCACAAGTTGCTGCCACCAGAGACTCAAAGTCCTTTTCCTTTGCCATGTCACTTCTCTAGAAATGTATTGCTCTTAGTTGAATTTGCTACGTAAACTTGAATTGAAAGCACCTTTTTTGAGAACTACTTACTTTCTGGATGTTTTCCATGCATATGTCTTCCATAGCACACACATGTGCTATGGTTTGAATATCTGTCCCTTCCAAAACTCATGTTTAAATTTAATCCCTAATGTGGCAGTATTGAGAGGTGGGATTAATGGATAGAGGATTAATAGATTAATGAGTTGCCATGGGAAGGAAACTTGTGGCTTTACAAAATGAGGAAGAGAGACTTGAGCTGGCATGTTAACAGACTCAGCCCCCTCGCCATGTGATACCCTACACCACCTCAAGACTCTTCAGAGAGTCCCTACCAGCAAGAAAGCTCTCACCAGGTGCACCCTCTGGACCTTGGACTTCCCATCCTCCATAACTGTAAGAAATAAATTTGTTTCCTTTATAAATTACCCAATTTCAGATATTCTGTTATAAGCACAGAAAACTGATACAAAATGTTAATAAACTTGTTTGTTTTTCTCCTATTAATCTGTCTTTTGTTACATGGGTCCTTTCCAACCTATAGGACTTGAAGAAAAAATTCTTCTTCTTCCCCTATGAGACCATATCCTAAAACACATCTCCTCTTGTATTATTTTCCCTTGCCTTGAATTATCTTTCCCTTGAGTAACACCTTTCTGACAATGTGTTATTGGATTCTATGCATTCCATTAATTGCAGTAGCACAATGGCATATAAAACTCATGCAAAGTTAAATTGATAGCTGCCATTTAACTTTAATGTTTTAGACTTTAGTACACAGCATAACCAGATAATTGTTTCAGTGAAATCTCAGGAATAAAAATGTTATTTCTTTTTCCAACATGTCTTACAGCATGGGGCATTGGGAATGGCAGTAGGCTAGGAGTATGAAGACACGTTCTTGGGTTTTTTATTTTATTTTTTTTTTTTTTGAGATGGAGTCTCGCTCTGTCTGTCGCCCAGGCTGGAGTGCAGTGGGGCGATCTCGGCTCACTGCAAGCTCCGCCTCCCGGGTTCACGCCATTCTCCTGCCTCAGCCTCCCGAGTAGCTGGGAATACAGGCGCCCATCACCACGCCCGGCTAATTTTTGTATTTTTGAGCAGTGACGGGGTTTCACCGTGTTAGCCAGGATGGTGTCGACCTCCTGACCTCGTAATCCACCCGCCTCGGCCTCCCAAAGTGCTGGGATTACAGGCGTGAGCCACTGCACCCGGCTGGTTTTTGTTCTTTAAATACCAGTTCTGCAAACTGGGACAAGTCACTTAACCATTCTGATTTGCATCATCCTTATTTGTAAAATGGCACTAATAATGCCAGCCCTGCCTAAATTAACAGAAATACTGGGAAATCAAATGAAATAATGTATCCAAAGTGCTAATTAAAATCAGTAAAGCACACTCCAGCACAAAGAGCAATTGCATTCTTGACCAGTAAGTACAGAAATGACAGGATTGTAAGAGAGACAACAGCATGATCCTGTAGAGGAGCCATCACCCAGCTGGGAAGTACTAGGCCATGCCATTGACCCTTATAAGTCTCAGCTTCTTAGTCTATCAGCTGAAGGTCGTGATTACAATGATGTAACAGGATTGTTCAGATCAAATAAACAAATATGAAAGGCCTCTATAAATGGTAAAATGATGTACAAACAGAATTATAGTTATTGAATAAATGAAGCCAAATGATTACTATGCCACAAGGAAGTTGTTCTCAGCCCAGATTAATGCATACTATACTAAGTACAAAGAGAAGACATATAAAGAGGACATATACATTTGCCTAAATGACAGTATAAAATGCTTGTTCTTCCACACCTCACTAGAATATACAAAAGGGCTAAATTTCAAGGAAAAAAAGAAAGCAAGAGAATGCTAGCAACGATGAATGCAAAGACTTTATTGGTATAAATGCCTACAGAGAGAATATAAGTAGACTTAAACTGTGTAGACATCAAACTTCTAAAAATATTTTTGGCCAGTCCTAGTGGCTCATGCCTCTATTCCCAGCACTTTGGGAAGCCAAAGCAGGAGGACCGCTTGAGCCCAGGAGTTAGAGAGCAGCCTGGGCAACATATAGCAAGACATCATCGCTACAAAAAAAAAAAAAAAAAATTAGCTGGGTGTAGTGGCACGCACCTGTAGTCTCAGCTACTCAGGAGGCTGAGGTGGGAGGATTGCTTGAGCCTAGGAGTTTGATGTTGCAGTGATTTATGATCACATCACTGCAGTCCAGCCTGGATGAGGGATTGAGACCCTGTCTCAAAAATAAAAAATAAAAACTCTATAAAAAAACATATACGTAACAGAAAGAAGGCCACCAGCCTAGTGTGGGCAAGTATGGAACCCATGGGGGTGGGGAAGAATATGATAGAAATGAAGATGTCAAGTATCAGAATTAGGAATGACATTTCTCCTCTACTCATCTATAATCAGAAAGGCTTACTTATGTCTGCATTAGAGGAAGTGATAATAAACATCACAGCTACTTAAACCTATTTGAACTAGTTAAGGATAGCTGGGGGGCAGGGGGATTGTTAGATACAACACAAGAAAGGCAGATGGTGAGAAGCCTGTATCCCATGCTCTGCAGGCAGTGAAAAATCATGAAAAATATGTGAGGCAAGAACTGACATAATCCAGTTTACACTTGAGAAACAAAGCAGTGTGGGGAAATAATTAGAAAGGGGAGGGACTGGCAACTAACTGGAAGAATACTGTAGGCAATGTTACATCCAGGCGAGGAAAGGTGAGAGCCTGAGTAAAGTAGTGGTAACGATGGAGAAAGGAAGGCAATAGATGGGTTCAGGAAATTTTCTGGAAAAGAATGGATATGCTTTGATGAAGGAGGTAGAAAAGTCAAGAATAACAGATCAGTTTCTAGCCTGAGTGACTGAGTGCTTCCAAGCCACGATTTCACTTTCCACAAGATAAAAACTATTTAGCCTAAACAATAAAACTGTAATTCAGGAATAAACTTACAAAGAAATTATGAAAATACAAGTTTTGATAATAAATTTTCTTCACTCATCTTTACAATGTTTCCAGGTGAACAGTTTTTTCCTCATAATAATGAATCATTGACAGAAGCTCAAAAATCAAGGTATAAGAAAAACAAATAATGCTGCCATAAAATAAAAAAACCCTTAAAAGCAATTCACATTTGCTCATGAAACTGGCTTTTACCTGGAAGTGCCAAAAGATGGTTCTAAAGGAGAATCCTAACAGGTAGCCAGGGAAAGAGACGCACCCTTCTCCATTCAGAGCTCAGCGCCAGCTTTCTATCATACTGCTGCCAAATAAATGAAGCTGCTATATTAATGAATTGTCAAAATATATTCTTATTTTCATGATTTGAAAATGATCGATTTTATGAGGGAACATGTCTTAGTAATTATATTGGGAAAACACAGAAAGTCATTTTTAAATGCAAAAAACATTTCTAATTGCTTCAACATCTATAAACACATGCAAACCCAGCAGAAAACAGTTTTCTGTCCATTTAAAATACTCACAGCTTTATTTTGAGAGACATTCACTGTCACCAACATAGTTTTTTAAATAAGGGATTCAGTAAGCATAAAAACTTTCCTACTCCTAATGTTTCATAAAAGAATAAAGTGAGATGTAACACAAATACCATTTTTTCAATATAGAAGACCAAAGAACATTTTAATGGGTCACAAAATTCAAATTATGTCATTAACGACTATTTTGCCAAATATAAAGGGCAATGTTTGATTAATCAGAGAATCTTGAAAAATCTGAATTTGATTTCCTTAATTCTCAGTTTAGCCACTAATTTTCCACAAGTTTAAAAGGAAAAAAGACAAGGCAAGCTATGCATCAATTTTTTTCATCCATAAATATGTGTGGTAATGGATAAGGAATTGCAGTGATTTACTTACACTCCCTATGCATAATTTATTTGCTAAAGTATCAGGTGAAAGGCATTAAGGGTGAAATATCAGTTTTCTCAGGTTATAGAAAAGTAGTGAAAACAATAAAGATGTGGTTCAGTGAATATTCAATTACATTAGAAATCTAACTGAAGACACTGGATTGTAAAAGGATATAGTGTATTTTTGCTAAAATGTAACAATTACTGCACTGTAACAGCAAAATAAACACCTTCACTACCGAAACAGAACCATATAAATGCATAAAACCCAGGACAAACTACTTTTCTAATATCACTAGATTGTCAGATTCTCTCTCTATAAGACACTTTTTTTCCACATCCCTGTTGTTGTCCTTATCTGGATGTAAAAGATTCTAATTACTAAAACAAACAAACAAAAAAACACCACGCACACACCTTCAGGAATCCCTGTACGACCCCCCTATTTCTCAGCGTACATTTATTAAGCACCTTTGTGGCCAAGGAAGGGTCCAAGCAGTGAAGGATCCAGACATAGTCCAGGGAGGATAATGTGATGAGTGCCACAATGCTCAAAACAATTGTTCCTCAAGCCCGCAGAGGGGAGGTCTCTTCTAAATGAAGGGTGAGAGGAGAAGGTAGGCAATGTGGAGCATTAAAGATTTTTGAGCAATACAATGGCACTGAATAGAGAGAGTTATGCTTTAGAAACACAGACTACAGGATTCTAGAATGTTATTAGAATGTTGTTGAAATGCCAGACAACAGGTCTAGGTTGAATAGAGAAGCCTGCTGAGCCACAGGGGGAGGTGAACTTGGGGAACTGAAATAGAAGTCTGGGATGAAAGGAAGATGACAATCAGTAGGAATGAGCAACTAGGGAGTAAAGTGGAAGAATTAGAGATTGTAGTCGGAAAATAATTTAAGCTTGGAGGTTTAGAAGTAGGATGTGATAATCACAAAAAAAGTCAAAGACCTGGTTGTTTTAATATCTTTATCATTTGTAGTTTAACAATGTTGAATATATTAAAACATTCTGACATTTTGACCAGGTTCATAAAAGTATGTAATTAAAGTTTATTAAGGTTGTTGAAGGGGTTTTAAAGTAAGAATGTGATAAGGGCATAGCATTTTGGAATAATAAAGTCTTTTTCTTGGAATCTGAAGGGTTATCACATGGAGGGGCAGAAAAGAGAAGCAAAGCCAAGAAAATTCTAAAAAGTAGTTTATAGATGAAGAGGTTAGGTTAGAGAAAAAACACAAGCAAAGGCAGGTGGGCAGGGGGTGGGGGAGAAATTCGGTAGGAAATTAGGTAGGTCCTGAGATAGGTCTTTAATCAAAGGCCATTAAAATATAATTTTAAAAACCCCTTTAAGTCCTACTTCCTTTGTAATAATATAGTGCTAAGTTTCTGTTTTCATGAAAATTTGAGGTTTTCTCCAGGTTTCTAAACACCTAAGTGTACATATAATAGTGCCTTCTAAGAAAACAGAATTTTGCAATTGTGTATAACAAACTCTGCCTACACAAAAGTAATCTGGTGTTTTTGTTTTGTTTTGAGGTGATGGTCTTAAATTATATATTCTGCTATAAGAGAATTCACGATACACAAAATATATAAAAGCATCCTTTTTTTTTTTTTTTTTTAAATTTGAGACGGAGTTTTGCTCTTGCTGCCCAGGCTGGAGTGCAATGGTACGATCTCGGCTCACCACAACCTCTGCCTCCCTGGTTCAAGTGATTCTCCTGCCTCAGCCTCCCGAGTAGCTGGGATTACATGCACGTGCCACCATGCCTGGCTAATTTCGTACTTTCAGTAGAGACGGGATTTCTCCATGTTGGTCAGGTTGGTCTTGAACTCCTGATCTCAGGTGATCAGCCCGCCTCGGCCTCCCAAAGTGCTGGGATTACAGGCATGAGCCACCGTGCCCAGCCAAAAGCATCTTTTAATGGTTGCATTTGTTCAATAAACTTACATAAAACTTAATTAAAACACAGTCGCACCTGAGGAATTTTCCCTCTCATATTATCTCACTCATTAAACATAAGAGGCCAGCATGGCTAGTTTTCCAATATAGCTTAAAATCACAGTAAACAGAAAATTATAAAGCTAACAGAATTTCAATAATTTATAGGCTGAAAAGAGAAAGGTTAAGACTTTCAAAACATACAAAACACATATTTACGCAACCAAATTTAAATGATCCCATTTTAAATCCAATTAAATCAATCTAATTTTGGAGAATGCAGGGGTTGGGGAATGACCAAGACAGCAAGGCATAATTAATCACATCCACACTAAACTAGAGTTTCCCCCAAATACTGTCTCACAAACGTCTAATGTACAGAGCAAAAATACCATGGATATATAAAAGGATAAATCTGAAACAGATACATCTGCACACATCTGATCTGTGAATTGTAGTGAAAGGCAGACCTACTCCTGGACTTTGTAGAAACAACAGAAATTTAAGTCCTGTTCAATGTACCAGGAATATCAATATGAGCACTTAGGTACTCAACAGGGAATTGTTTTTGAGTCTTGAAACTCAGAGTTGAAAACAAAAAGCAGAAATTACATGAAAGTGGATTTATGGGTCTCATGGCAAGATTAGCTGGTTAAGAAAAATAATAATAATCTTTTCATGCTGTGGCACTGATTGTTAGCAGAAGATGGATCATCACACCTCAGCTCCAAGAGTGGTATTCACCAGCTCCACTACTGTGACATAAATGCCACAAGGCATTACTGACAAAATGGGAGGGCAAAAGTCAGCTTTTCATGGGTGATTACAACGCCAGTCATTTTCTCCTTTTCAGACTACTGATGAAAATTTGACAGAGTAAACAGAAAGTAGTGGAATAGTTGCAACACTTTAGGAGTTGGCTGCAACTTCTCTTCATTTGTATAATTTCTCCATGTCCAGTTTGCCCAAGGCAATCATGGAGGCATAAAAGAACCAGGCAATAAATAGAGAAGCGTGATTAAGAGGGTAAGTTTCAGAATTCAAGAGTCATGCAAAAGTTTGCATACAGTCACTATCTGTGTGATTTTGCAAAGATTTCTTAATTGCTTTCATCTTAATCACTGGTAAAACAGGGATTATAAAACAGATCACAAAAGTGCTGCTCTCAAAGAGTTGTTGTGAGGACAAATGAAACGTCTGTAGTGTTTATCACAGTATTTTTCACTTAAATTGTAATAAACATCATCATCATCTCGGCCTAAATTTATTATTCTTAAACATTTTGGATTTTTTTCTCTGTTCTTAACGTTCACCAATTTCTTCCTATGAATACTAGAAAAAATAATTTCCTTCCAACCTTCTTCATACTATCACATAAAATGTTTAACCTCAAAGTATTAATAGGAGAATTTAGATGTCCTTGAATAACCTGATATCTGGAAGATTTTGTGAGTCTATCATTATAGTCTATATTTACATTTTTAGGAAGTGTCCAAAGTACAAATATTCAACTTAAACAGTAGAGATTTAAATGAAATCCATTTTTATAAAGCTTTACTGTTATGTAGTATCCATTAGCCAAATGTGACCATTGAGCACTTGAAATGTAGCTTAAACTAAATTGAGATGTTCAACAAGTACAAAGTACACACTGGATTTCAAAGACTTAGTACATAAAATGTAAAATATTTCATTCACAATTTTTCATAGTGATTACATATTAAAATATTTTGAGCTGGGTGTGGTGGCACATATCTGTAGTCCCAGCTACTCAGGAAGCTAAGGAAGAAAGATTACTTGAGCCTAGGAGTTCAAGTAGCTGAGCCTGGGCAAAAGAGCAAGACCCCATCTCTTAAAAAAATAAATAAAAGCTATTTTGAATAAGAGTTAAATAAGGTATGTTATCAAAATTAATTTCACTGAGTAATTTAAAATTATATATAATTATATATGTGGCTTACATTTGTTGCTCTCATTATGATTCTACTGGATAGCATTATTGTATAGTGAGGACACAATGACATAAAACAATCAAATAGTTCGCTGGAGGACTTGGTATACCTATAGAATAGCCAGATGACTTGCCCTGACTTCTATTTGCTACACTAAGATTAATCTCTGCCAGTCATAAACAAAATACAGGCTGCAATTAGGCCAACTAAAGGAAGTGCTTCAAGTTTATTGTAAATGTGCTTGTTTTTACAACATTTTACTTGGGAATCAAGTTTTTATATTTAAGTCATAGTTTGCCATTTATAGTATTAGGGAAGCAATCTTGAATTCTGATTAGCTTAGCGGTAACCTGAATTGTTTCTCTGGGGACAAAGAAAGCTGTGACATGTTTATCTGCGAGGCTTTGGGGCTGCTTGGCCAACCTCAACCTCAATACCTAATTGCAACTGTCCATTCTCTCATTTGTAAGAAGCCATAATAGACAGGATGCAAATGTGGCTTACAGCAAAATCCTAAGCCAGAGTGGAAAGAGTTCCTCCCTCATCCTCAGGGGGTATTTCTCTGCCCTCCCTCCCCACCAGCAGACAGAGTTTCTGACATTCATAAAACAATAACATATAAAACATATTTCCATTCTTTGTCAAGCATTTCCCAGTATTCTTAAGCCTAAAGAGGTTAACACCATTTACTCCTTTCTATCTGACAGGTTATAGTTTATCATATTTTTTAAATTAGCATAAAATAAAAAAGCAGTGAAGAAAGCATCACAAATAATCAAAACTGATCTCTGCATCAAAGAAACATATTTATTTGGACCATTAAAATGTTAGCTAATACATCTTTCAAAATGAACTGTAATCTCCTACATCATTCCATAAAAGTATACCAAGTTCCAATACAGCCTTTTCACATAAAGCCAGGTGTAATAATAGCACAAATGGAAAAACAATTCAGGAAGAGGAAATAAATGTTTCTGTACATTACCCATATATCTATTTTTTGCAATCACAATTTTACCCACTTAGGGTGTTAAAAAAAAAAAACCCTATCCACATAAACTAAGCCACTCAGACATTTAGAAAGCACAGTCCCTGCACTTTGGATTTGTTGGGTGGGTAGGAAATCAAAGGAACCAAAGCTACAATATATCATTTCCTGTGGTGAAGGATATCACAGGAAAATTCAGTCAACAGCTGTCACCACTGAAATTGAAATGAGTTTGGGTTTTTTTTCTCCAGCTAAATCCGTAGTAAATGATATCCAGCTTGTATTAGCCCAGGTGATTTTCCCTGCAGTTATTCCAAATGAGAACACAATCAATAAAATTCTGTTTTAAATTGGTTGAATGTAGATTATTTTTCCACAAGCATAAATTTTATTCAACTTTATTTAAAAAAATGTCTCCACAGAAAACTACCATCAGACAACATGCAGTGTAAGATCTATTTTTCTTTATAACTGGGAGAAATTGTATGATTCCAAGAGGCTAAAATATCCATAAAAATCAGGACCATAGGGGTTTCCATATCAGGTAGGAACTATAAATAGTACAACTGCTACTTTATTTTATGTTTCCCTCATCTTCCCCATGTGGCCCATATTTTCCTATTTATTTCAAGTTATAACCAAAATCCAATGAACTCCAAGATAAGTGAAAGTTGCATCTCATTTTTCTATAAAAATATCTGTACATTTGTCAAAAGACATTGAACTATACCCTTTAAATGGGTGGATTTTTTGTGTATAAATTGTACCTCAATAAAATTGATTTTAAAAGTAAAATACACACATACACCCCTGTAACATATATTCAAACTACAGCTTTACATTGGTATTTTCACCATATAACTTTAAGACCCCCAACAAACATATCTATTTTCATGAGTAAAAATTTTATGTTCCTTTACTCTCTATATTCTTAGTATATATTCTAGTAATATGATGAACCCAAATACAGATGGTTTTGGTTTTGGGTTGGGTCCAGGATAGTCAAATGACTACAATAAAGAAAGGATTCATAATAGGCTAGTCATGAAAAAGTGAAAGGTCGAGGGAATAAAGTTCCAACATCCAGCAAAATTAATACGTTAAAATGATGGACAACGTCTTCCCATTCCCCCACAAATAATTTACACAATGTGGAATGCTACTGAGATGAGCTATTACACATTTATGGCATTCTAGGATTATCCCCTCACATTTGTTCCCCAATAACTGCCACAATGTTTTGGGAGCTTTGGTAGGAGGTGCTGGAACAGTTAATGAGGATTATTATTAAAAGTCACAGTCCAACAGTCACATTACATCCTTTCCTTATACACCACTTCAGTCTCACATAGCCATTGACAATGCCTCATAATGTTTAAGGGTTTCATTTCATAGATCAAAAGAGCAAGGTATGTAACAGTTTTGTTTCTGGTTTTGTTTTTGAATACAAGTGGTCAACATTTGAATAACTTGTTGCCGGAAGTCGGGGACCCCAAACAGAGGGACCGGCTGAAGCCATGGCAGAAGAACGTGGATTGTGAAGATTTCATGGACATTTATTAGTTCCCCAAATTAATACTTTTATAATTTCTTACGCCTGTCTTTACTGCAATCTCTAAGCATAAATTGTTAAGATTTCATGGACACTTATCACTTCCCCAGTCAATACCCTTGTGATTTCCTATGCCTGTCTTTACTTTCATCTCTTGAACCTGTCAGCTGAGGAGAATGTCGCCTCAGGACCCTGTAATAATTGCATTAACTGCACAAATTGTACAGCATGTGTGTTTGAGCAATATGAAATCTGGGCACCTTGAAAAAAGAACAAGATAACAGCAATTGTTCAGTGAATAAGAGAGAGAACCTTAAACTCTGACCGCCGGTGAGCCAGGCAGAACAGAGCCATATTTCTCTTCTTTCAAAAGCAAATGGGAGAAATATCGCTGAATTCCTTTTCTCAGCAAGGAACATCCCTGAGAAAGAGAATGCCCGCCTGGGGGTAGGCCTATGAACGGCCCCCCTGGGCGTAGCCATCTCTTATGGTCGAGACTGCAGGGCTGAAATAGACCCCAGTCTCCCATAGCGCTCCCAGGCTTATTAGGAAGAGGAAATTCCTGCCTAATAAATTTTGGTCAGACCTGTTGATCTCAAAAACCCTGTCTCCTGATAAGATGCTATCAATAACAATGGTGCCCAAAACTTCATTAGCAATTTTAATTTCGCCTTGGTCCTGTGGTCCTGTGATCTCGCCCTGCCTCCACTTGCCTTGTGATATTCTATTACCTTGTAAAGTACTTAATGTCTGTGACCCACACCTATTCGCACACTCCCACCCCTTTTGAAAATCCCTAATAAAAACTTGCTGGTTTTTGCGGCTTGTGGGGCATCACGGAACCTACCGACATGTGATGTCTCCCCTGGACACCCAGCTTTAAAATTTCTCTCTTTTGTACTCTGTCCCTTTATTTCTCAAGCTGGCTGACGCTTAAGGAAAATAGAAAAGAACCTATGTGAATATCGGGGCAGGTTCCCCAATAATAAGTCATTGGTAAGAAAAAGAGGGAGCACTTCTGAGATCACACAGAGGAATAGTAAGTACTCTCTGTCCTCCATGATTAGTTCCTGATTGCATAAAGAAGAGTTCTATGTCCCAAAACAAAAGATAAAAACAGTAGTACATTTCTACAAAGATAAAAAGCATTTCTTTATCATAGTTATCCTTTGGAAATAACAGAAAATCCATCAGCTTTTTGTCCAAATTACCATCTCATTCAGTCTCAATATTTAGCAGCTTGGAAAACGGAATTAAAGGTAAAATTTTTTAACCTGACAGTTTCTATAATTCACTCATCCATTCATTCATTTATTCATTCATTCAAGTGTTTACTGAGGTCCTATTATGCCATTCTTATAAGTAATGGGGAGATAGTGGTAAACAAGATGGCCAAATTCCTTCATCTAATGGAGCTCATACCCTAGGCAAAAAAATACTGAACAAGCAAACAAATTAAAACGATCATTCCAACTAGTGATGTTGCTGAGAAGAAAACATAACATAGTGAGAAAATATTATAAAGCACTTGTGAGAGTGACTTTACATTGGATGATTAAGGACACACCTCAATAAGACCTGAGAAGATGCACCGCTATACACATTTTTGTTTGTTTCCACCACTGTACACATTTGATGACTGTTCCTGGTAGATTGTATGTATGCAGTAAGTCAAGAACCAAGATACCACTACTAAAAGTGGGCATTTAAAATTCATCTTGTATTATCCTTTCTAGCACTACTTTCCAAATAGTAATTAGAAACAATTGAGAGTGCATTAAACTTTTGATGAGTCTTGGTAGTCTGCCTTTCCTCAGCTCAATTTATTAATTTTGTTTTGTGTTTACTCTGAGTAAATAAAGGTTAATTGGTTCTGGAATGCCAGGGGGTGCTCTTAGGTTAACTAAACATTTAGACTCACAAGACTATGCCATAGACCCCTTGTGGCATCAGTTTACTTGGAAAGATCCAGGACAGGAATCACAGCTTGCTAGCTGGGCAGCTTCAAGTATTCCTCTTCCATGGAATCCTTACCACAGTCCTGCACAGGTGGACAATTCATTCAGGTACAGAGGCAAAATCCCCACCAGTACATGTGAGAGCTGCCCTGACTTAGGAGCCTCATGACCCTCAGTGGCCACAATTGCTTATAACAGCTCCATACATATAGCTTTTCCAGGGCTACCTCAGATTTGAAACTCTAAGCCCCACTACTATGATTTTTTAAAAATATGTAATTATTTAAATAAATTTCAAATACAATATGGAACTACACTACCAAATACAGATACCATTAACTAAAATTGATTGCTGAAATTAAAATTTTAATTAAATAAAATTAAATAAAATTTGAAATTCAGTTCTTTAGTAGCACTAGCCATGTTTCAAATGCTCAATAGCTGTAAGTGGCTATTGGCTACTGGATTAAACAGTACAGGTATAGAACACTTCCATCATCACAGAAAGTTCTATTACATAACATTCAACAAGTTGCTTTTTGTTGCTAATATATCACAAATACTGCCACAATGCTTTCTCAGGCCTTTTAAGAATATTATTTCCCATAACATCATTATTATTTTGTACTGTTAGTGTTTTATGACTAACACAGTGTAAAATCACTAATTTTCCTTTATAACTTAACCAGAGAGTGATCAATGTTTTAAAGAAACCCAATGAGTGAAGAATAGGAAATTTAACAACTGCAGATATTAAAACTATTATACCTCCACTATGCCAAGAGTCATCATGATTTATTATAATTACTTTAGTTAAACTTCTCTTTTTACTGATAACTATTCAGTCCTACAAAGGCAGAAATAAATGTATCCCTAGAACCTAACATCATGTGAGGCAACCAGTAAGAGTTCCTTTAATATGTGTTCAATAAACAATAAATAAAACAAACTCTTAGAATGCTAAAAGGTGTGTGAGCATGTATTACTGAACAGCTCTCACACAAAGTACCTCAGTACATCTCAGCCACTATATGTAACCTCATTACAAAGTCTACTATTTACAGCAGTGTTTATTTGCCTTGTTCTAGGTAGCTGGTTGATAAGACAGGAAAGATTTTTCTATCTTCCTTCAATATCATTAAAAAGAAAATCAGTAACTTTTTATATTTCTGTTAAGAACTCATTTCTTATACCTTTTTTCAACTTTAAGATATATTAAACTAGTAAAGTAAATTAGCTACAAAACTCCAGGAAATGTTAGTATTCTACATGAATTAAGAATGGTGACTTACATGTAAAATTGATTAAAAGTGATACAAAAAGCTGTTTTCACTCCATACTCCCACCTCAAAAGAAAACCTTCACTATAAGAGGCCGAATCAGTGACCCTCCACATATGCTCTAATTCCTGGATCCTCTGAATGTGTTAGGTTACATGGTAAAAGGGGCTCTGCAGATGTAATTAAGGTTAAGGATCTTAGATGAAAAGATTATCCTGGATATCCCTGTAGTCTGATCTAATCGCATGGGCCTTTAAAAGCAGAAAACTTTCTCAGGTTGGAAGCAGTGTGACACAGCAGCATAAATTAGAGAGATCTGAAGCATGGGAAGGCTCTGAGATGGGACCCACAGGCAAGGACTTCAGAGGCCTCTAGGAAATCCTGGAAAGCATGAGAAGGAATGTGGGCAGCCTCTAGGAGGAAAGACCAGGCTTCAACTGACAGCCAGCATAAAAACAGGATCTCCAACAACTTAAATAACCTTGGAAGTAAATTCTTCCCCAGAGCCTCCAGTAAGGAATATAAGCCTTGCTGACACCTTGATTTTAGCCTGGCAAGACCCATGTCCAATTTCTAACCTACAGACTGTGAGATAATAAATGGGCATTGTTTTAATCCACTAAATGTGTGGCATTTGTTAAGGCTGGAATAGAAAACTAATACACTGGTCACTCTTTGTTTTGTTTTCTTTATATAAAAATGCTAGTGTCATTGCTAAATATCAGGGAATATATATACAATGTACTTATGCACACAGACATATGACATGAGTGATTTTTAAATATTCTAAAGGAGTGTTTGAAAAAATGGCTATAAAGGCTCTAATCTACACACGCTAATAAGCTTTAACATTTGGCTTCCTCAATTCCACCTTTTTCAAGTCACTCGTTCACTTGTTAAGAAATCTGCCACTTTCTCACTTGGGCAAGATGGCATTTTTAGACTAATGAACTTCCCTGTATTTTCAAAGCTATACACCACCTAGGCTGCTGCTGTTCTTTGTTCTTACCTCCATCTGATCTGCTGGAAAACATCTATGATGCAATTCCTTCTACATAAAGTTACTACAGTATTTCTTCTCAGTTACTTTGCCTGAACACACAGAAACTGTTCACATTCTATAATTTTTTGCCACAGGTTTATTCAATCCCAAAAGCTATACATATCTGATAAAATGGGAATGGCTAAGTAAAAGTAGATATATCTATTCTTGATTGACTATTATGCAGATACTTAAAATTGGAGTCATGAAAATCAATTTTCTACTTTATTACCTAGTTATAACACATTAAGTGAAAATTTTAAAAGTTAACCACTTTATAATTAAAGTATGCATCAAGTTCACAAAAGAAGCTTAGTGTTGGTTGCATTAGGGAGGGAGGTGATTTTATATATTGTGACTATACATTTTACCAAAAACATTAAATGACATTAAATTTGTAACATAATCCACATGCAGATACTGCTTCTCACAAGACTTCCTATCACTCTCTTTACTATCTACTTAACTTGCAGCAACTATTCCGGTGCAGCTTTGGGTATGTGTGTGGGTGGGGAGCGGGGGACTATTTATAAATTTTGGTCCTCTTTCCCCTTAAAAATATAAGCATCTTGAGTTAAGGGACCACATCTATTAGTTCTTTTGTACATAATCAGTACCAATTATAGTGCCCTTAACACAACCGGCTGATTCTAACAAAATGCTGACTATTCACAAGTATACCTCTAAGAAGGCATTAACATTTTCCATACAGATGTGAAAAAATTGTAATTCAAAGGTGACAATGGAAAACAATATATTCTAATTTATTAATATCTTACACAGCACCTGGAAAACCTTCACTATAATCAGTGAACTAAAAGCTTGTGCTGCTGCATGTAGAAAAGGAAATAAATGTTCAAGGTACGGCCAGAGACTGGAAACAGGTGATGAGAAAGAGCTAACAAACAACTGAAGCATGTGGACCAGGCTAATGAGGCTTTCATTTCAGCCCTCAACTGATGAAGCCCCTATCTACTAAACCATTTTCTGGCATTTATTTTCATATTTACCACAATAGACACATGAATGCCCACACAATTTTCTGATTTCAAAATGAGAACTAATTCAAAAAGAAAACAATGATAGCTGTACCACTTTGGATAGTAAGAAAAGCTTTCTTACAGAGATTACATGTCTGATAAAAAATTTGTGAAAGCATATTCTTTAGAAAAATAAGTAGACATGTGTGCATATTAACAAAATGTACTGCCTTCGGAAAAGGAATGTTACAAAAGTAGTAATAATACCAACTGAAGGAAGATGCTTTTATTACTTTAAATGATTTTAAAATAATGGTTTGTATAAACATCTGCTTGCAAAATCAGTATGCACTAAAAGTTAATCGATATGATGCAGTCCAAGTACTTACTATAAGTAATACTTGTCTTAGCTTGCTTTATCTTTGTTTGATTTCTAATTCATTCTTGGGCTGAAATATGCTCACAAAATTGTGGTGTGACAAATACACATTTTAAAAATGAGTTATTCTTTAATGACAAAACATTAAATAATAGCAATTTTTTTTTTTGAGACAGAGTCTTGCTGTGTTGCCCAGCCTGGAGTGCAGTGGCATGATCCTGGCTCACTACAACCTCTGCCTCCTAGGTTCAAGTGATTCTCCTGCCTCAGCCTCCTGAGCAGCTGGGATTACAGGTGCGCACCATCACAGTGGGCTAATTTTTGTATTTTTAGTAGAGACAGGCTGGTCTTGAACTCCTGGCCTCAAGTGATCTGCCTGCCCCAGCCTCCCAAAGTGCTGGGATTACAGGCATAAGCCACCACGTCCAGCCAATAATAGCAACTTATAATATGTGACTTATAACAGTGACTTATAATATGCTGTCCCCCAATGCACTTCATATCTTGAAGTCAAGGGATAAAGGAGGAAGATACATACACTGTAGGCGTTATTTTTAAGGGGGAAAAATTCTCAATCATACAACTAAAAGTTATCACATGTATAATATGGGCTGCAAGTTTTCCTCTCTAGTTGTACCTGTTTATACTTCATATTTATAAGTGAGATAATAAATAAAAATAAACATCTTTATCATGCACACTTGCTAGCCTAATGCCATTTTTATAAATATTATCCCATGGTAGCATCATTAGGATAGCAAAGATACTTATTTACAATAAACTTCTACATTCATGGGAACATATTCCAAGACCTTTATGTATCTCCAAACTACCAAATCAGTGAACGATATAATTTACCCTAGAAAATGCAGTGATATACAACCATGAGAATGACAGTAAAGCCACAATGAGATGCAGGCTCCTTAGATTACATATCTAATCATATGCAATTTGGTGAAAGCAGAAATAACGATTTATACAAATTCTCTCTAAACTTTATATTATTGTAAGTCTAAGTTATTTTATTTTTTCCAATAGAAAAGTTCCTGGTACCAATTTTGAAAAATGGTATAGTCTTATGAAATAATTAATTCATCTCTTTTGAGGAGAGGGAAAGGCAGTATTTTTCATTAGAAAAATCAGGTTTTCTTGGCTGGTGCACGGTGAGCATGGTGGCTCACACCTGTAATCCCAACACTTTGGGAGGCCAAGGCAGGCAGAACACCTGAGGTCTGGAGTTAGAGACCAGTCTGGCCAACATGATGAAACCCCATCCCTACTAAAACTAAAAAATTAGTTGGGTGTGGTGGCACATGCCTGTAGTCCCAGCTACTCAGGAAGCTGAGGCAGAAGAATCGCTTGAACCCAGGAGGAGGAGGTTGCAGTAAGCTGAGATCATGCCATTGCACTCCAGCCTGGGTGACAGAGTGAGACTTTGTCTCAAAAAAAAAAAAAAAAAAGAAAAAGAAAAATTAGGTTTTCTTAATGAGAACATCATGAGGCTCCATCACCAACCTGTAAAATAGGGATTATGATAAATAACCATCTACCATCCACACTGGATTGTTCTGAGTATGCACCAAAAAGCTAGATTGGAAAGTACTTTTTAAACTCCAGTCAGTTTGATTTCCTGGCCTATCCCCTTCTAACCCTCCTAAAACATTGCCCCTTCAATTATTCCCTCTTACTCCCATACTACTCATTTCTGCCTTAACCTGTAAATATGCTCATCTTACCAATCTTAAGGAAAAAATAAAACACTTCCTTCAACCATGAAGCTCACAGATGCAGTCCTTTTTCCTGACATGTCCTCAGAATTAAGCTCTACCAAGAGTAGCCTACTACCTATATCTCCACAGCCTCATTTCTTATTTATTCCTCAAATCCTCATGAGACTTGGACTTGTATCCATACCATTAGCACCCGTCATACCACTATCCTTTTTTGTTCAAAGCTCCTCCCTGGTATTTTTACCGGTTTCTCATATCCCAACTCCCGCACTGCCCATCACAAGTTATTTAAACGCTGATATTCTGTGGGTTCGATTCAGAACCCTTCACCCTTTTCTTGTCTCTCTATACTCTCTTCCTCAGTGATCTCAACCATTCCCTTCATTTTAACCAAGACCTGCACAGTGATGATTAGCAAATGTCTCCCTGATGTAAACCTCACTCTTCAACTGTGGGTCTGTATTCAACTGCTTACTAAACATCCCCCACATAGGTCCCCATAGGTATCTCAAGCTTAAAATGTCTGAAACTACTGAAATTACCATCTAAGCATCATATTCACTCCCTAATTGCCTTGTCTTCCTTTCTTTATTCTCCTTCTTAGTTAATGACAATATTATCCCTCAAGTGAGATTACAGTTCAGTCCATTCAGCCTGAGAAAGCTGACTAAGAATAAAACAACAAAAAAGGAATAAACTTCAGTCCAATCTGAGCTCCCACTGTGAGCCACTGTGCTAGAATGCATGGAAACCAAAACAATTAAGTTATGGCCCGATTACTTAAGGAGATAATTCCACGAGGGAGACAGTTCAATTAACAAAATTATGTACATTGTATTTAATTCTGATAGAAAATGATACAAATTTTATAACTTGTTCAAGTGCCTGTCTCTCAAATGAAATCAAACCCAACTCTCTGAAAACAGAGATTGTGTGTTTTCTTTAAATTCTAAGCACATAACGGGCACTAAGTAATTAATGAGTGAATGGACGATACTAATGAATTAAAAACACAGTTGTACTGCCATAAGATATTGAAGCACGATATTTTTCTGTACTTGAGAATTGGATTCAACTAAAACAGTTTGGACACATCACTTCTGCAGTCTCAAAATAATATATATTGTTAAGTGATATTCTAGATTATTTGATTGGCAGTGTTACCTTAATTCTCTTTGAGTCTCTAAATCCTGTAAAATGATTTGAGAATTTCTCTGTATTGCTACTTCAATTTTTACAGGTATTTGTATTATCTCCCAAATTAGTTTTATTGACAAATTTAATTAAAATGCTACTCATCATTCCTCTTTCCTCATTAGAGGCAATAAACAAAATTAGACCTAATAATGATCTCGGTATCAACCTCCTAATGTCCATCCGCCTCTAGGTAACATTTAAATTACACAGTTCATGCAAATCAATTTTTTTCTAACAAAATTATTATTAAAATCTCTCAAACCAAATAATATTATTTCCTATTTAGAACTAAGCAAAAGGAAGATAAAATGAAAACATTACATTTAGACAAGCAAAAGCAACAATTCAATATTCTTGAAAGGCGTTATCACAAGGTTACTTTGTAGAACAGGAAGTGTCAAACTATGCACATCAGCTGCCACCCGACATATACATGTCTCTGACATGGTAATAAAATGAGAAACTGTTTTGTTTAATAATAATAATAATAAAGCAACAGCGGTGGGTGCACATTACATGTAGCATCTAGTCCTGGTTGCCTAGCAACCAGTCATGAGTGAAATCCACAGAGAATAAAAGCCCTTAAATGAATTTACAGTTTGTGCAACTTTCAAGGACTCAAAGAGATGTGTCAGTAGTTAATCTAAATTCTAGCTGGCAATTACCATATTCAGATGGAGGAAGGAGAATCCATCATTATCTCTCAGAATCAACTGTGAGATTAACTAGAAGCTAGATTCTACCCTTTAGGTTTTTACCTTTTGAACCAGTGGTTTTCTAGGAAAAAAATTTTGACAAGATGATTTATAAATTATAAAAACTTTATGCAGAAAAAAACAACAAAATTTCACTAATATAACTTGTATTCATTCATTCAACAAAACATATAATACCTATCATACACCAGATACTGTCTCCGCTATTGAAAATACAAATATGAACATCACTTTACAAGCCTTCAAGCATACTATAATGGAGAAATCAAACAGTAAACAAACAATAACAATATCACAAATTCTGTAATACAGAGGAAGGCATGGGATATTATGAAAATATCTATAAAAGACTTCCAATTCAGACTACGGAGGTGAACTAATTAATGGTCAGGGAAAACTTATCAGAAGAGGTAATGTTTGAGATGAGTTTTAAAAGACAAGCAGAAGTTGTTATAAAAGTGGAGCATGAGGAGAATATAAATAGATTTGCGTATTTATATACATCTACAATATGCTTTAAATATATATTTCTAAAATATATATTTATATTATATATTTAAAATGTTTTAAAATTATATTAAATACATTTAAAATATCTTAAAATTATATTAAATACATTTGAAATGTTTTAAAATTATATATATTATATATCTACAAATTTACATAAACAGAAGTGGCAGAAGGAAAAATATTTGTAATGCCGTAGAGGTGAGTGAGCAAAAAGCATGTTGTGTTAAAGGAACTTCACGGCATTTGGTGAAATTAGGATCTCAGTGTTAAAACAGGAGTCCAAAGAGACAGACAGCCCAGGCCTCTTCCAGAAGGACCTCTTATGCCAGGCTAAGAAGTTCGGACTTCCTCCAGAATGAAATTGGAGAGGCAGAGATGGGTCTTAAGCCAATGAATAATATAAACACATATGGCAATGATGTGAAATATATCAGAAAGGGCAAAGCAAACAGACAAGATGCTATGATAGCAAGAGATATACTCAAGAGATAAAATTGCCAACAGAGTTGAATGCAGCAGGTGGACATTAAGCAAGAGACTCAAAAATAATTTCTGAGATTCTTAACTCACTAACACAGAGTTCTAGTAAATTTAACAATCATGTATAAATGTTGTTATACATAAAAATGTATGCTATTCATTCCCTGCTGAAATATTAGACTTGATCAATCCGACAAAACAATTACACAAAGGTTACGACTTCTTCGTAACCCAACAAAACAATTATACAAAGGTTAAAAAGCTGTCTGGGAAGGAACAGTTACTGGAGAGCAGGAAGAAAAGGCAAGGAAAGTGGAGAGGGGAGGAAGAAAGAAAGGACAAATAAAGAAATACTAAGAAAGAAAAAGAAAACTAAAACTAAAACTTTCTGGTGAAAGTAAAAATCTATCCACACTTCTGAAAGAGAAGTTTAAAAATAATTTTTCAAAACCATAAAGGAAAACACTATTGGTGCTTGACTACATAAAACCTGAAAATGTAGGTATGTTGACTAATACAATTTTAGAATTTTAGAAAAAATGTATGTAACAAATACAACAAAGAGTCACTATCCTTTAAAGTATGTAAAAGCAAATAAGATCAGGAGATGCTATCAATAAGTGAGCAAAGAATACAGGTAGTTAATCCCACCTCAAAAATAAGGAAAATGAATTATTATTACCGACAAAATGCACAGTATCACAACAGTATCTCTATGTCTAACCTATTAGCAACTGTTTTGACTGCCCTATCTTGTTCAGAGTATAGTTACATGGCAGTATTATACAAATATGAGTGTATAGGTAGAATAAGATTTTGAAAAAGAAATATACATATACACTTAAATCTTTGAAATGGTTCACACCCTTTGACAAAGTAATTCTAATTCTGAAAACCTACCCTAAGAAAATGATCTAAAATACAAATAAAGGTTAACATATCACATTATTTTATAGTAGGAATAAAAAACTGGAAATGGTCTAAAGCTTCCCAAAGGGAGATAAATATGCTATAGTACAGATATACAAGAAAATATAATGTAGTCACTAACAATAATGTTTTTAGAAAGATTTTAATACTAAAGGAAAAAATATTACAATATTTATAAAAATGGAAAAAGTAGTCACATAAACTATAATTTCAACACTGAGTAAAAAACAACAATGACAACAACAACAACAAAAACATAGAAAGGGCAGGGTGCGGTGGCTTATGCCTGTAATCCCAGCACTTTGGGAGGCTGAAGCAGGTGGATCACCTGAGGTCAGGAGTTCGAGACCAGTCTGGCCAATATGGCAAAACCCTGTCTCTACTAAAAATACAAAAATTAAACAGGCGAGGTGCCCCACACCTGTAATCCTAGCTACTTGGGAAGCTGAGGCACAAGAATTGCTTGAATCGGGGAGGCGGAGGTTGCAGTGAGCGGAGATCACACCACTGCACTCTAGCCTGGGTGACAGAGCAAGATTCCATCTCAAAAAATAAAAAATTAAAATTAAAATTAAAAAACATAGAAAGGATAAATATTATTTCTGAGTAGTAATGATAGGGTTTTCCTTTTCCTTTCCTGTATTTTCTAACTTTATTTTTTAAATAATGAGACTATATTATTTTTGTATTTAGAAACAAACTCCATCCAACTCATCTATCCTCAATAAAAGTATGCCTTAACCTTGTATTTACATAAATAGCTCATTCATTTGAGATCTTTCTGTAAAGTTAGTTATCTCTACTCATTTAACTTAAACTTATCAAGCAGTTCAGCACACTGTTGTTGAATTAAAAGAGCTTTCTACAGTGCCCTAAAGTCAAGGGTAACGAGTCCATGGTATTAAGAACTTCAATTTGAATAACGGAATGAAAGCAAGAAAAAAAATAAGTTTTTAGTAATTGAAAGGGTTTCACCACTTTAATATACTTTATTCACTTTACTGCACTTGGATTTATAAGCATAACAGGCTGTGCCTTTATATTACCTGAGGTGATTGAGCAGAGGCTGAAGTCTTTCATCAGACTGCACAGCAGGCAAGGACCTGGCTGTTAACTAAAAGCAGGGAAGAAAATTAGTAAAAACAGCAAAGGCCGAACACCGAACATATTTGAATACTAAATGTAAAACGAGCTGAAGGGCAGATAGGGAGGCAATACTTAAAAATATAAGGTTCTATTTCTCTTTTTTCAAATCAAGAAATTATATAAAAACCTGACACATTACGTGATCAAAGCTAGCTACATGGTTCTAAGGACATAGGGTATGTCACTAAGTTTAAAAGTAAAGAAAAAGGTGAGCAAAACAGAGAGTAAAAGGGAGTGTCCTGAGTTCATGAAAAAGCATTCACTTATGAGACTATTATCTTTGTAAATAAAAATGGAAAAACTTCTAAATGTAAAATTGTATAACAACCAATCTTGTAGCACCGAGTCCTAAGATGATGAATAAATTGGGAAGATAAATTCTGATTTATAGCTAAGCCACTGTGAAACTGGTTACATACAGAAGTGTATGTACTTTATTCTGTCAGCCACATGACTATAAGGAACCAAGGATATCTTTTAAGTATACAGAAACAACTCAAAAGTATTTAATATTGAAATATGACCTCAAATTGAGCTAGGAAATAAGAAGTCAGAGCCAATACTGTGTACCAACTTGACAGCATATCATCAAAATGTGAATTTATGATCTGTTTTATTACAACAATATTAATTATATATCTATGTATCTCTATTTTCTTCTCTGTTCTTAAGAGAATGCCTTTTTATAAGAATTTGACACAAGGAAATTAAAGACATTCATTCAAAGTAATCAGATAGCTTGAGGTAAACTTAACATCAAAACAAAAATAAAAGATAAATCTCCTCAAGATTCAATTATGATCAAAATGGTTCTCATATTTTACTAATCAATCATTTAACAATTCACAAAAAAGAACCTTAAGACAAGCAACAAACTGAAAGATATCTTTTGGGTTTATGTAGTGTATCCTGTCTTTCTAATTTTTTTCATACATTAATTACAATTTCCTAAAAATGGAAAACATTAGTTCATCAAATCTAATTTTTATATTATGCAAATAATGCTATCATCTAAAAATATCTTTTATATATTTTTTTAAAAGTTGGCCAAAGTGCCATATTCTGATAATAATGGAGAAGCTTTCCCAATTTTGTACAAGAGTCAACACCTCGACAGTTACTAATTTAAAATACAATAAAGTGAGACGATCTGCTGCAATTTTAGCACAATCAATAGACTTTCAGTATCCCTGAAAAATACTAAGTATCAAAATACTAAGTACTAAGTATTAAAAATATACTAAGTAACATATATGTAACATATAAGATGTTATCAAGGTTATCAAATTCTATAAACAAAACACTTTAATACTTTAATACATCCTTTATCTGTTAATGTCAAATCCTGTTACAAAATGCCATTTTCATTGTTCAAGAGATTTCATGTCTCAGAACCAAAGCTGTGTTCTAAAACGATTTAAATGATTTATCTAGACATTTCAAAAGTCAGTTCTCTGAAAACAGAGCAGACAGAGTGGGCTTTCTCAGTCACTTCTGTCAATCTATATAGTATGCTTTCTAATAGAGGCAAACAGAAATCACCTCAGTAACAGCAAAATATTCTAGACATCTGTTAAGTCCATATAGGAAAGATTTTCACATCTACCCCTTCATCTTAATTTCAGTCTTCATTTCCTTTTCCCTAAACTATTAATACATCTCCACTGTTGTTTCTGCTGCCATTCTTGCCCCTTCCCTAATTTATACCAAGGTCAGAGTGAAATGTTCAAAATGAAAGTCAACCACACCCCTAATTAAAATCATCTAGTAATTCCCTCTGGCTCCCAGGGTAAAGTTATTACATCAGTCTTTCATCAGACATTTTCTTAAAATTTTCCTTTTAGGCAGCATTACTGAAACAATAGGCACAGAATGATTGACTGACTACACAGCTTCTGCCAATTCCACAAAACACAATGACAGCACATTAGGTAGAAGTTTTCCATAGCTCCAGTTTTCTGGAACACATGTGCTCGATGATTTGAGTTCTCCCATCCTCCCCTTCCCACCTCCAACTTACTTTCGAGATTGAATCTCTGGCAAGAATGATTCCTAAACCAGGGAGAGGCCAATGCTCTGAGTAAAATTATTTCAAGGAAGATTTTTGAGTTCTCCAAAGGTTTTCTTTTCAACTTTTAAAACAATTACCGTTTACAAAAAGAGCATGCATCTCTTCATGTTAAGTATATGAAGTAATAAATCTATTCCAAAGCTCTTTAAAGTGGCAAACCCATCTGCGAACCTTTTGCTGACAGAAAGCAAACTTCATTTTAGGAACTGTTGGCTCCATTTCTTCTGAAATTTTTCTCTGAGCTAACGTAGTTACCACTTACATCCACTGGACTGTGAGTGGTAACTGCATCCCTAGCACTTGCAACACAACAGATGTTTAGTTTAGCAAGTGTGTAATTTCATTAATTGATAAAAATGAAAGTATATGTCTATGTTTCATAAAGCTTTTCAAATTCCTGCTTTGAGCAAAACTAAATATAAATCAAAACTAAACTAAGTAACAATTATCAAGCCTTCCAAGAAAGCAATACACTGTCACAATGAGATTTTTAGCATTTCCTCTACAACTAGAAAGCTATATCTATCCAGGTTAAATCGACTTTGGCTTCCAACTGTGTTTTAATTTTTTTTCTTTTTATAGAAAACAAAACAATGTACCAAACACATAAATCACCAGGAATGAAAGAGAGGGAAGATCTATCACAGTTTGCATCTGCAAAGCCTAAACGAGTTGTCTAAGTTTGGGCTATTTCATGAAAACCATCATACAATTTGGCATAACTTATAGCTTATTTCTCATTATTGTTGAAAGGTTAGGGGTGAGTTAAGATGTCCTTTCATTATTAAAACTATATTAGCCCACTGAATTAACTAATACAGTTTCCACTGTTTTTAGATAAGTATAACCGATCACTAACTCTTATATAAATCTCATTTTAAAAATTAGTATTACTGGGTAAATTTTGCCCTTTGACATCTATCTGGTTACAAAAATAATGCAAGTTTTATATGAAGAAATCCCGTTTCCAACGAAAGCCTCAAAAAAGTCCAAATATTCACTTGCAGATTCTACATAAAGAGTGTTTCAAAAGTGCTCTATCAATCAAAAGAAAGGTTAAACTCTGTGAGTTGAAGGCACACATCACAAAGTAGATTCTGAGAATGATTCTGTCTAGTTTTTCTAGGAAGATATTTCCTTTTCTACCACAGGCCTCAAAGCGCTCTAAATATACACTTGGGAATTCTACAAAAATAGTTTTTTGAAACTGCTTTATCAAAAAGAAAGTTCAACTCTGTGAGTTGAATGCACATAGCACAAAGAAGTTTCTGAGAATTCTTCTGTCTAGTTTTATATGAAGAAATCCCGTTTCCAACGAAGGTCTCAAAGAGATCCAAAAGTCCACTTGCAGATTCTACAAAAAGGGTGTTTCAAGACTGCTCTATCAAGAGGAATGTTCAACCCTGTTAGTCAAATGCAAACATCACAAAGTAGTTTCCGAGAATGCTTCTGTCTAATTTTTATGTGAAGATATTTCCTTTTCTACCACAGACCTCAAAGCGCTCTAAATATCCAGTTGCAGATTCTACAAAAAGAGTGTTTCAAAACTGCTCTATCAAAAGAAAAGTTAAACTCTGTAAGGTGAATGCACACATCTCAAAGTCGTTTCTGAGAATGCTTCTGTGCAGTTTTTCTATGAAGATATTTCCTTTTCTACCATAGGCCCCAAAGCTCGCTAAATATCCACTTGCAAATTCTACAAAAAGAGTGTTACAAAACTGCTCTATCAAACGGAAGGTTCCACTCTGTGAGTTAAGTGCAGACATCACAAAGAAGTTTCTGAGAATACTTCTGTCTACTTTTTATGTGAAGATACACCCGCTTCCAAAGAAGGCCTCCAAGCGTTCAAAATACCCACTTGCAGACTTTAGAAACAGTGTTTCAAAACTGCTCTATCAAAAGAAAGGTTAAACTCTATGAGTTGAATGCACACATCATAATGTAGTTTAAGAGGATGATTCTGTCTAGTTTTTATATGAAGATATTTCCTTTTCTACCATAGGCCTCAAAGCGCTCAAAATATCCAATTGCCAATTCTACAAAGAGAGTGTTTCAATATTGCTCTATCAAAAGGAACGTTCAACTCTCTGAGCTGAGTACAAACATCACAGATAAGTTTCTGAGAATACTTCGGTCTACTTTTTATGTGAAGATATTTGCATTTCCAAAGAAGGCCTCAAAGCGCACCAAATATCCACTTGCAGACTTTACAAACAGAGTGTTTCAAAACTGCTCTATCAAAAGACAGGTTAAACTCTGTGAGTTCAATGCACAAGTCACAAACTAGTTTCTGAGAATCATTCTTTCTGGTTTTTCCATGAGGATATTTCCTTTTCTTCCATAGACCTCAAAACTTTCTAAATATCCACTTGGAAATACTACAAAAAGAGTGTTTCAAAACTCCTCTATTGAAAAGAAGGTTCAAATCTGTGAGTTGAAAGCACACTTCACAAAGAAGTTTCTGAGAAGTCTTCTGTCTAGTTTTATATGAAGGAACCCCATTTACAACGAAGGCCTCAAAGAGGTCCAAATATCCACTTACAGATTCTACAAAAAGAGTGTTTGAAAACTGCTCTATCAAGAGGAATGTTCAACTCTGTGAGTGGAAGGCAAACATCACAAAGTAGTCTCTCAGGAAGCTTCTGTCTAGTTTCTATGTGAAGATAATTCCTTTTCTACCATAGGTTTCAAAGCGCTCTAAATACACACTTGCAAATTCTACAAAAAGAGTGTTTCAAAACTGCTCTATCAAAAGAAAGTTTAAGCTCTGTGAGTTGAATGCACACATCACAAAGTCATTTCTGAGAATTCTCCTGTCTAGTATTACATGAAGAAATCCCGTTTCCAACGAAGGCCTCAAACAGGTCCAAATATCCACTTGCAGATTCTACAAAAAGAGTGTTTCAAAACTGCTTTATCAAGAGGAATGTTCAACTCTGTGAGTTGAATGCAAACATCACAAAGTACTTTCTCAGAATACTTCTGTGTAGTTTTTCTATGAAGATATTTCCTTTGATACCATAATCCTCAAAGCACTCTAAATATCCACTTGCAAATTCTACAAAAAGAGTGTTTCAAAACAGCTCAATCAAAAGGAAGGTTCAACTCTCTGAGTTGAGTGCAGACATCAAAAAGAAGTTTCTGAGAACACTTCCGTCTACTTTTTACGTAGGCCTCAAAGCGCCCCAAATATCCACTTGCAGACTTTACAAACAGAGTGTTTCAAAACTGCTCTATCAAAAGAAAGGTTATACTCTGTGACTTCAATGCACACATCATAAAGTAGTTTCTGAGAAAGATTCTGTCTAGTTTTTATATGAAGATATTTCCTTTTCTACCATAGGCTTCAAAGCACTCTAAATATTCACTTGCAAATCCTACAAGAGTGTTTCAAAACAGCTCTATCAAAAGAAAGGTTAAACTCTGTGAGTTGAACGCACACATCACAAAGTAGTTTCTGAGAATAATTCTGTCTAGTTATTCTATGAAGATATTTCCTTTTCTACCATAGGCCTCAAAACGCTCTAAATATCCAGTAGGAAATTCTACAAAAAGAGTGTTTCAAAACTGCTCTATCAAAAGGAAGGTTCAACTCTGTGAGTGGAGTGCAGACATCACAAAGAAGTTTCTGAGAGTACTTCTGTCTACTTTTTATGTGAAGATACTCCCATTTCCAAAGAAGACCTCAAAACGCTCCAAATATCCACTTGCAGACTTTACAAACAGAGTGGTTCAGAATTTCTCTATCAAAGGAAACGTTTTACTCTGTGAGTTGAATGCACACATCACAAAGTAGTTTCTGAGAATGATTCTGTCTAGTTTTTATATGAAGATATTTCCTTTTCTACCATAGGCTTCAAAGCGCTCTAAATATGCACTTGCAAATTCTACAAAAAGAGTGGATAAAAACTACTCTATCAAAAGAAAGTTTCAATTCTGTGAGTTGAATGCACACATCACAAAAAGTTTCTGAGAATTCTTCTGTCTAGTTTTTATGTGAAGAAATTCCCCTTTCCAACGAAGGCCTCAAAGAGGTCCAAATATCCACTGGCAGATACTACAAAAATAGAGTTTCAAAACTGCTCTATCAACAGGAACGTTGAACTCTGTCAGTTGAATGAAATCATCACAAAGTAGTTTCTGAGAATGCTTCCGTCTAGTTTTTATGTGAAAATATTTCCTTTTCTACCATTGGCCCAAAGCGCTCTAAATATACTCTTCCAAATTCTACTGAAAAGTTTTCAAGACTGCTCTGTCAAGAGAAAGGTTAAACTCTGTGAGTTAAACGCACACATCACAAAGTAGTTTCTGAGAATGATAGTTTCAATTTTTTCTGTGAAGCTATTTCCTTTTCTACCATAGGCCTCTAGGCACTCTAAATAACCACTTGGAAATTCTACAAAAAGAGGTTTTCAAAACTGCTCTATTGAAGGGAAGGTTCAAACCTGTGAGTTAAATGCACACATCACAAAGAGTTTCTGAGAATTCTTCTGTCTAGTTTTATATGAAGAAATCCCATTTTCAACGAAGTCCTCAAAGAGGTCCAAATATCCACTTACAGATTCTACAAAAAGAGTGTTTCAAAACTGCTCTATCAAGAGGAATGTTCAACTCTGTTAGTTGAATGCAAACATCACAAAGTAGTTTCTGAGAATGCTTCCATCTAGTTTTTATATGAAGATATTTCCTTTTCTACCATAGGCCTCAAAGCCTTCAAAATACACACTTGCAAGTTCTACAAAAAGTGCGTTTCAAAACTGCTCTATTAAAAGAAAGGTTATACTCTGCGAGTTGAATGCACACATCACAAATTAGTTTCTGAGAATGATTCTGTCTGGTTTTTCTATGAAGATATTTCCTTTTCTACCATAGGCCTCCAAGCGCTCTAAATATCCACTTGGAAATTCTACAAAAAGTGTGTTTCAAGACTGCTCTAATGAAAGGAACGTTCAACTCTGTAAGTTGAATGCACACATCACAAAGAAGTTTGAGAATTCTTCATCTAGTTTTTATATGAAGAAATTCCCGTTTCCAACGAATGCCTCAAAGAGGTCAAAATATACACTTGCAGATTCTACAAAAAGAGTGTTACAAATGTTCAACTCTTTGAGTTGAATGCAAACATCACAAAGCAGTTTCTCAGAATGCTTCTGTGTAGTTTTTCTATGAAGATATTTCCTTTTCTACCATAGGCCCCAAAGCCCTCTAATTAGCCACTTGCAAATTCTACAAAAAGAGTGTTTCAAAACTGCTCTATCAAAAAGAAAGTTCAACTCTGTGAGTTGAATGCAAACATTGGAAAGAAGTTTCTGAGAATGCTTCTGTCTAGTTTCTTTGAGAAGATATTTCCTTTTCTAACGTAGGCCTCAAAGCCCTCTAAATATACACTTACAAATTCTTCAAAAAGAGTGTTCCAAAACTGTTCTATCAAAAGAAAGGTTAAACTCTGAGAGTTTGACACACACATCACAAAGTAGTTTCTGAAAATGATTCTGCCTAGTTTTTATATGAAGATATTTCCGTTTCTACCACAGGCCTCAAAGGGCTCTAAATATCCATTGGAAATTCTACAAAAAGAGTGTTTCAAAACTACTGTATAGAAAGGAACGTTCAACTCTCTGAGTTGAATGCACACATCACAAACAAGTTTCTGAGAATTCTTCTGTCTAGTTTTTATACGAAGAAATTCCCATTTCCAACGAAGGCCTCAAAGAGGTCCAAATACACACTTGCAGATACTACAAAAAGATTTTTACAAAATTGCTCCACCAAAATGAATGTTCAGCTCTATGAGTTGAATGCAAACATCTCAAAGTAGTTTCTTAGAATGCTTCTTTGTAGTTTTTCAAAGAAGATATTTCCTTTTCTTCCTTAGGCCCCAAAGCGCTCTAAATATCCACGTGCAAATACTACAAAAAGAGTGTTGGAAAACTGCTCTATGAACAGGAAGGTTCATATCTGTGAGTTGAGTGCAGACATCACAAACAAGTTTCTGAGAATACTTCTGTCTCCTTTTTATGTGAAGATATTCCCGATTCCAAAGAAGGCCTCAAAGCACTCCAAGTATCCACTTTCAGACTTTACAAATAGAGTGTTTCAAAACAGCTCTATCAAAAGAAAGGCTAAACTCTGTGAGTTGAACGCACACATCACAAAGCAGTTTCTGAGAATGATTCTGTCTAATTTTTCTATGAAGATATTTCCTTTTCTACCATAGGCCTCAAAGGGCTCTAAATAACCACTTGGAAATTCTATAAAAAAAGTGTTTCAAAACTGCTCTATTGAAAGGAAGGTTCAACTCCGTGAGTTGAATGCACACATCACAAAGAAGTTTCTGAGAATTCTTATGTCTAGCTTTATATGAAGAAATTCCATTTCCAATGAAGGCTTTAAAAAGATCCAAATGTCCACTTGCAGATAATACAAAAAGAGTGTTTCAAAACTGTTCTATCAAAAGGAATGTTCAACTCTCTGAGGTGAAAGCAAATATCACAAAGTAGTTTCTGAGAATGCTTTTCTCTAGTTTTTATGTGAAGATATTTCCTTTTCTACCATAGACCTCAAAGCACTCTAAATATCCACTTGCAAATTCTACAAAAAGAGTGTTTCAAAACTGCCCTATCAAGAGGAAGGTTCAGAATCTGTGAGTTGAAAGCAAACACCACAAAGTAGTTTCTGAGAATGCTTCTGTCTATTTTTTATGTAAAGATATTTCCTTTTCTACCATAGGACTCAAAGCTCTCTAAATATACACTTCCAAATTGTACAAAAAGAGTGTTTCAAAACTGCTCTATCAAAAGAAATGTTAAACCCTGTGAATTGAATGCACACGTCACAAAGTAGTTTCTGAGAATGGTTCTGTCTAGTTTTTATATGAAGACATTTCCCTTTCCACCATAGGCCTCCAAGCGCTCCAAATATTCACTTGGAAATTCTACAAAAAGAGTGTTTCAAAACTGCTCTATCGAAAGGAAGTTTCAACTCTGTGAGTTGAATGCACAGAGCACAAAGAAGTTTCTGAGAATTCTTCTGTCTAGTTTTATATGAAGAAATCACGTTTCAAACGAAGGCCTCAAAGGGATCCAAATATCGGATTGCAGATTCTACAAAAAGAGTGTTTCAAAACTGCTCTATCAACAGGAATGTTCAACTCTGTGACTTGAATGCAAACATCAAAAGTAGTTTCTGAGAATGCTTCTGTCCAGTTTTTATGTGAAGATATTTCCTTTTCTACCATAGGCCTCAAAGTGCTCTAAATATACGCTTCCAAATTCTACCAAAAGAGTGTTTCAAAACTGTTCTATCAAAGGAAAGGTTAAACACTGTGAGTTGAACCCACACATCACAAAGCACTTTCTGAGAATGATTCCCACTAGTTTTTCTTTGAACACATTTCCTTTTCCACCATAGGCCCCAAAGCGCTCTAAATATCCATTTGCAAATTCTACAAAAAGAGTGTATCAAAACTGCTCTATCAAATGGAAGGCTCACCTCTGTGAGTTGAATGCAGACATCACAAATAAGTTTCTGATAATGCTTCTGTCTACTTTTTATGTGAAGATATTCCCTTTTCCAAAGAAGGCCTCAAAGCGCTCCAAGTGTCCACTTGCAGACTTTGCAAATAGAGTGTTTCAAAACTGCTCTATCAAAAGAAAGGTTAAACTCTTTGAGTTGAACGCACACTTCACAAAGTAGTTTTTGAGAATGATTCTGTCTAGTTTTTCTATGAAGATATTTCCTTTTCTACCATAAGCCACAAAGCGCTCTAAATATCCACTTGGAAATTCTACAAAAAGAGTGTTTCAAAACTTCTCTATTGAAAGCAAGGTTCAACTCTGTGCGGTGAATGCACACATCACAAAGAAGTTTCTGAGAATTCTTCTGTCTACTTTTATATGAAGAAATCCCGTTTCCAACAAAGTCCTCAAAGAGGTCCAAATATCCACTTGCAGATTCTACAAAAAGAGTGTTTCAAAACTGCTCTAACAAGAGTAATGTTCAACTCTGTGAGTTGAATGCAAACATCACAAACTACTTTCTGAGAATATTTCTATCTACTTTTTATGTGAAGATACTCCCGTTTCCAAAGAAGGCCTCAAAGCGCTCCAAATATCCACCTGCAGACTTTTCACACAGAGAGTTTCAAAACTGCTCTATCAAAAGGCAGGCTAAGCTCTGTGAGTTGAACACACACATAACAAAGTAGTTTCTGAGAATGATTCTGTCTAGTTTTTATATGTAGATATTTCCTTTTCTACCATAGGACTCAAAGCGCTCTAAATATCCACTTGGAAATTCTACAAAAAGAGTGTTTCATAACTGCTCTATTGAAAGGAACGTTCAATTCTGTGAGTTAAATGCACACATCACAAAGAAGTTTCTGAGAGTACTTCTGTCTAATTTTTATGTGAACATACCCCCGTTTCCAAAGAAGGCCTCAAAGCGCTCCAAATGTCTACTTGCAGACTTTACAAACAGAGGGTTTCAAAACTCGTCTATTGAAAGAAAGGTTAAACTCTGTGAGTTGAACGCAAACATCACAAATTAATTTCTGAGAATGATTCTGTGTAGTTTTTATATGAAGATATTTCCTTTCCTACCATAGGCCTCAAAACGCTCTAAATATCCACTTGCAAATATTACAAAAAGAGTGTTTCAAAACTGCTCTATCAAAAGCAAGGTTCAACTCTGTGAGTTGAGTGACAGACATCACAAAAAAGTTTCTGAGAGTACTTCTGTCTAGTTTTATATGAAGAAATCCCGTTTCCCAAGAAGGACTCAAAAAGGTCCAAATATGAACTTGCAGATTGTACAAAAAGATAGTTTCAAAACTGCTTTATCAAGAGGAATGTTCAACTCTGTGAGTTGAATGCAAACATCACAAAGTAGTTTCTCAGTATGGTTCTGTCTAGTTTTTATGTGAAGATATTTCCTTTTCTACCATAGGCCTCAAAGTGCTCCTAATATACACTTGTAAATTCTACAAAAAGAGTGTTTCAAAAGTGCTCTATGAAAAGGAAGGCTCAAGACTGTGAGTTGAGTGCAGACATCATAAAGAAGTTTCTGAGAATTCTTCTGTCTACTTTTTATGGGAAGATACTCCCATTTCCAAAGAAGGCCTCAAAGGCCTCCAAATATCTACATGCAGACTTCACAAACAGAGGGTTTCGAAACTTCTTTCTGAAAAGGAAAGATCACCTCTGTGAGTTGAATTCACACATCACAAATTAGTTTCTGAGAATGCTTCTGTCTAGTTTTTATGTGAAGATATTTCCTTTTCTACCATAGGCCTCAAAGCGCTCTAAATATACACATGCAAATACTACAAAAGAGTGTTTCAAAACTACTCTATCAAAGAAAGTTTAAAATCTGTGTGTTGAACGCACTCATCACAAAGTAGTTTCTGAGAATTCTTCTGTCTAGTTTTATATGAAGACATCCCGTTTCCAAGGAAGGCCTCAAAGAGGTCCAAATATCCACTGGCAGATTCTACAAAAAGAGTGTTTGAAAACTGCTCTATCAAGAGGAATGTTCAACTCTGTGAGTTGAATGCAAACTTCACAAAGTAGTTTCTGAGAATGCTTCTGTCTAGTTTTTCTATGAAGATATTTCCTTTTCTACCATAGGCCTCCAAGTGCTCTAAACATTCACTTGGAAATTCTGCAAAAAGAGTGTTTCGAAACCGCTCTATCGAAAGGAAGGTTCAAATCTGTGAGTTCAATGCACACATCACAAAAAAGATTCTAAGAATTCGTCTGTCTAGTTTTATATGAATAATCCCATTTCCAAAGAAGGCCTCAAATAGGTCCAAATATCAACTTGCAGACTCCATAAAAAGAGTGTTTCAAAACTGCTCTATCAGGAGGAATGTTCAACTCTGTGAGTTGACTGCAAACATCACAAAGTAGTTTCTGAGAATGCTTCTGTCTAGTTTTTATATGAAGATTTTTCCTTTTGTACCATAGACATCAAAGCGCTCCAAATATACAGTTGCAAATTCTACAAAAAGAGTGTTTCAAAACTGCTCTATTGAAAGGAAAGTTCAACACTGTGTGTTCAATGGACCCATCAAAAAGAAGTTTCTGAGAATTCTTCTGTCTACTTTTATATGAAGAAATCCCTTTTCCAACGAAAGCCTCCATGAGGTCCAAAGATACACTTGCAGAATCTACAAAAATGTTGTTTCAAAACTGCTCTATCAAGAGAAATGCTCACCTCTGTGAGTTGAATCCAAACATCACAAAGTAGTTTCTGAGAAAGATTCTGTCCAGTTTTTCTATGAAGATATTTCCTTTTCTACCATGAGCCCCAATGTGCTCTAAACATCCACTTGGAAATTCTACAAAAAGAGTGTTTCAAAACTACTCTATCAAAAGAAATGTTAAACTCTGTGAGTTGAACCCACACATCACAAAGTAATTTCTGAGAATTCTTCTTTCTTGTTTATATGAAGAATTCCCATTTCCAACGAAGGCCACAAAGAGGTCCAAATACCCACTTGCAGATTCTACAAAAAGAGTGTTTCAAAACTGCTCTATCAAAAGGAATGTTGAACTCAGTGAGCTGAAAGCAAACATCACAAATTAGTTTCTGAGAATACTTCTGTCTAGTTTTTATATGAAGATATTTCGTGTTTACCATAGGCCTCAAAGCCCTCTAAATACAAACTTGCAAATCCTACAAAAAGAGCGTTTCAAAACTGCTCTATCAAAAGAAATGTTAAACTCTGTCAGTTGAACGCACACATAACAAAGTAGTTTCTGAGAATCATTCTGCCTAGTTTTTCTATGAAGATATCTCCTTTTCTACCATAGGACTCAAAGCACTCTAAATATTCACTTGGAACTTCTACAAAAAGAGTATATGAAAACTGCTCTATAGAAGGGAAGTTTCAAAACTGTGATTGAATGCACACATCACAAAGTAGTTTCTGAGAATTCTTCTGTCTTCTTTTATATGAAGAAATCCCATTTCCAACGAAGGCCTCAAAGAGGTCCAACTATCCACTTGCAGATTCTACAAAAGAAGTGTTTCAAAACTGCTCTATAATAAGGAATGTTCAGCTCTGTGAGTTGAATGCAAACATCACTAAGTAGTTTCTGAGAATGTTTCTGTGTAGTTTTTCTATGAACACACTTTTTTTTTCAATCTTATGCCCCAAAGCACTTTAAATATCCACTTGCAAATTCTACAAAAAGAGTGTTTCAAAACTCCTCTATCAAAAGGAAGGTTTAACTCTGTGAGTTGAGTGCAGACATCACAAAGAAGTTTCTGGGAATAATACGGTCTTCTTTTTATGTGAAGATACTCCCGTTTCCAAAGAAGGCTTCAAAGCGCTCCAAATATCTACTTGCAGACTTTACAAACAGAGGATTTCAAAACTTTTCTATCAAAAGAAATTTTAAACTCTGTGAGTTGAACACACACATCACAGAGTAGTTTTGGAGAATGATTCTGTCTAGTTTTTATGTGAAGGTATTTCCTTTTCTACCATAGGCCTCAAAGCACTCTAAATATCCACTTGCAAATCCTACAAAAACAGTGTTTCAAAACTGCTCTATCAAAAGAAAAGTTTAACTCTGTGAGTTCAGCACACAGATCACAAAGTAGTTTCTGGTAATCATTCCGCCAAGTTTTTCTATGAAGATATTTCCTTTTCTACGATAGGACTCAAAACGCTTTAAATATTCACTTGGAACTTCTACAAAAAGAGTGTTTCAAAACTGCTCTATAGAAGGGAAGTTTCAACTCTGTGAGTTCAATGCACACATCACAAAGAAGTTTCTGAGAATTATTCTGTCTAGTTTTCTATGAAGTAATCCCATTTCCAACGAAGGCCTCAAAGAGGTCCAAATATCCACTTGCAGATTCTACAAAAAGAGTGTTTCAAAACTGCTCTATCAAGAGGAATGTTCAACTCTGTGAGTTGAATGCAAACATGACAAAATAGTTTCAGAGAATGCTTCTGTCTAGTTTTTATGTGAAGATATTTCCTTTTTCTTCCATAGGCCTCAAAGCACTCTAAATATACACTCACAAATTCTACAAAAAGTGTGTTTCAAAACTACTCTATCAAAAGAAATATTAAACACTGTCAGTTGAACACACACATCACAAAGTAGTTTCTGAGAATCATTCTGTCTAGTTTTTCTCTGAAGATATTTCGTTTTCTACCATAGGCCTCAAACTGTTCTAAATATCCACTTGGAAATTCTACAAAAAGAGTGTTTCAAAACTGCTCTGTCAAAAGAAATGTTAAACTCTGTGAGTTGAACCCACACATCACAAAGAAGTTTCTGAGAATTCTTCTGTCTAGTTTTATATGAAGAAATCCCTTTTCCAACGAAGGCCTCAAAGAGGTCCTAATATCTACTTGCAGTTTCTACAAAAGGAGTGTTTCAAAACTGTTCTATAATGAGGATTGTTCAGCTCTGTGAGTTGAATGCAAACATCACTAAGTAGTTTCTGAGAATGCTTCTGTGTAGTTTTTCTATGAACATAGATTTTTTTCCACCATTGGCCCCAAAGCACTTTAAATATCCACTTGCAAATTGTACAAAAAGAGTGTTTCAGAACTCCTCTAACAAAGCAAGGTTTAACTCTGTGAGTTGAGTGCAGACATCACAGAGAAGTTTCTGGGAATACTACTGTCTTCTTTTTATGAGAAGATACTCCCGTTTCCAACAAAGGCCTCAAAGCACTCAAAAAATCTACTTGCAGACTTTACAAACAGAGGGTTTCAAAACTGCAGTATCAAAAGAAAGGTTAAACTCTGTAAGTTGAACACACACATCACAAAGTAGTTTCTGAGAATCATTCTGCCTAGTTTTTCTATGAAGATATTTCCTTTTCTACCATAGGACTCAAAGCGCTATAAATATTCACTTGGAACATCTACCAAAAGAGTGTCTCAAAACTGCTCTACAGAAGGGAAGGTTCAACTCCGTGAGTTCAATGCACACATCATAAGGAAGTTTCTGAGAATTTTTCAGTATAGTTTTCTATGAAGTAATCCCGTTTCCAATGAAGGCCTCAAATTGGTCCAAATATCCACTTGCAGATTCTACAAAAATAGTGTTTCAACACTGCTCTATCAACAGGAATGTTCAACTCTGCGAGGTGAATGCAAACATCAAAAAATAGTTTCTGAGAATGCTTCTGTCTAGTTTTTGTGTGAAGATGTTCCCTTTTCTTCCATAGGCCTCAAAGCATTCTATATATACACTTGCAAATTCTACAAAAATTGTGTTTCAAAACTGCACTATCAAAAGAAATGTTAAACTCTGAATTGAATGCACACATCACAAAGTAGTTTCTGAGAATGATTCTGTCTAGTTTTTCTATAAAGATATGTCCTTTTCTACCATAGGCCTCAAACCGACCTAAATTTCCACTCGGAAATTCTACAAAAAGAGGGTTTCAAAACTTCTCTTTCGAAAGGAAGGTTCATCTCTGTGAGTTAAATGCAAACATCACAAAAAGTTTCTGAGAATTCTTCCGTCTAGTTTTATATGAAGAAATCCCATATCCAACGAAAGCCTCAAAGAGGTCCAAATATCCACTTGCAGATTGTACAAAAGGAGTGTTTCAAAATTGCTCTATAATGAGGAATGTTCAGCTGTGTGAGTTGAATGCAAACATCACTAAGTAGTTTCTGAGAATGCTCCTGTGTTTTTGTATGAATATATTTTTTCCACCTTTGGTCCCAAAACGCTTTAAATATCCACTTGCAAATTGTACAAAAAAGAGTGTTTCAAAACTTCTCTATCAAAAGGAAGGTTTAACTCTGTGAGTTGAGTGCAGACATCACAAAGAAGTTTCTGGGAATACTACTGTCGTCTTTTTATATGAAGATACTCCCGTTTCCAAAGAAGGCCGCAAAGCGCTCCAAATATTTACTTGCAGACTTTACAAAAAGAGGATTTCAAAACTGCTCTATCAAAAGAAATGTTAAACTCTGTGAGTTGAACGCACACATCACAAAGTAGTTTCGGAGAAAGATTCTGTCTAGTTTTTATATGAAGATATTTCCTTTTCTACAATAGGTCTCAAAGTGATCTAAATATCCACTTGCAACTCCTACAAAAACAGTGTTTCAAAACTGCTCTATCAAAAGAAAAGTTTAACTCTGTGAGTTGAACACACACATCACAAAGTAGTTTCTGAGAATCATTCTGTCTAGCTTTTCTATGAAGATATTTCCTTTTCTACCGCAGGACCCAAAGCACTCTAAATATTCATATGGAACTTCTACAAAAAGAGTGTTTCAAAACTGCTCTATAGAATGGAAGGTTCAACTATGTGAGTTCAATGCACACATCACAAAAAAAGTTTCTGAGAATTCTTCTGTCTAGTTTTATATGAAGTAATCTCGTTTCCAACGAAGGCCTCAAAGAGGTCCAAATATCCACTTGCAATTCTACAAAAAGAGTGTTTCAAAAACTGCTCTATCAAGAGGAATCTTCAACTCTGTGAGATGAATGCAAACATCATGAAATAATTTCTGAGAATGCTTCTGTCTAGTTTTTATGTGAAGATATTTCCTTTTCTTCCATAGGCCTCAAAGCACCCTAAATATACAATTACAAGTTCTACAGAAAGAGTGTTTCAATGCTGTTCTATCAAAAGAAAGTTTAAACTCTGTGAGTTGAACCCACCCATCACAAAGTAGTTTCTGAGAATGTTTCTGTGTACTTTTTCTATGAACATATTTCCTTTTCCACCAATGGCCCCAAAGCGCTATAAATATCCACTTGAAAATTCTACAAAATGAGTGTTTCAAAACTGCTCTATCAAAAGGATGGTTCAACTCTGTGAGTTGAGTGCAGACATCACAAAGAAGTTTCTGGGAATACTTCTGTCTACTTTTTATGTGAAGATACACCCGTTTCCAACGAAGGCCTCAAAGCGCTCCAAATATCCACTTGCAGACTTTACAAACAGATTGTTTCAAAACTGCTCTAACAAAAGAAAGGTTAAACTCCATCAGTTGAACGCACATATCACAAAGTAGTTTCTGAGAATCATTCTGTCTACTTTTTCTATGAAGATTTTTCCTTTTCTACTATAGGCCTCAAATCGATCTAAATATCCACTTGGAAACTCTACAAAAAGTGTATTTCAAAACTGCTCTATCGAAAGGAAGGTTCAACACAGTGAGTTGAATGCACACATCACAAAGAAGTCTCTGAGAATGCTTCTGTCTAGTTTTGTATGAAGAAATCCTGATTCCAACGAAGAACTCAAAGAGGTCTAAATATCCATTTGCAGATTCTACACAAGGAGGGTTTCAAAACTGCTGTATAATGAGGAATGTTCAGCTCTGTGAGTTGAATGCCAATGTCACTAAGTAGTTTCTAAGAATGCTTCTGGGTAGTTTTTCTATGAACATAATTTTTTTCCACCGAAGGCCCCAAAGTGCCTTAAATATCCACTTGCAAATTCTACAAAAAGAGTGTTTCAAAACTCCTCTATCAAAGGAAAGGTTTAATTCTGTGAGTTGAGTGCAGACATCACAAAGAAGTTTCTGGGAATACTGCTGTCTTCTTTTTATGTGAAGATACTTCCGTTTCGAAAGAAGGCCTCAAAGCGCTCCAAATATCTACTTGCAGACTTTACAAAGACAGGGTTTCAAAACTGCTATATCAAAAGAAAGGTTAAATTCTGTGAGTTGAACGCACACATCACAAATTAGTTTAGGAGAATGATTCTGTCTAGTTTTTATATGAAGATAATACCTTTTCTTCCATAGGCCTGAAAGCACTCTAAATATACGCTTTCAAATACTACAAAAAGTGTGTTTCAAAACTGCTCTATCAAAAGAAAGATTAAACTCTGTGAGTTTAACGCACACATCACAAAGTAGTTTCTGAGAATCATTCTGTCTAGTTTTTCTGTGAAGATATTGGCTTTTCTACCATAGGCCTCAAACCGACCAAAATATCCACTTGGAAATTCTACAAAAAGAGTGTTTCATAACTGCTCTATCGAAAGGAAGGTTCAACTCTGTGAGTTGAATACACACATCACAAAGAAGTTTCTGAGAATTCTACTGTATAGTTTTATATGAATAAATCCCGTTTCCAATGAAGGCCTCAAAGAGGTCCAAATATCCACTTACAGATTCTACTAAGGAGTGTTTCAAAACTGCTCTATAATGAGGAATGTTCAGCTCTGTGAGTTGAATGCAAACATCATTAAGTGGTTTCTGAGAATGCTTCTGTCTAGTTTCTATATGAAGATATTTCCTTTTCTACAGTAGGCCTCAAAGTGCTGTAAATATACACTTGCAAATTCTACCAAAAGAGCATTTCAATACTGCTCTATCAAAAGAAAGTTTAAACTCTATGAATTGAATGCACACATCACAAAAAAGTTACTGAGAATTCTTCTAATTTTATATGAAGAAATCCCATTTCCAACGAAGGCCTTAAAGAGGTCCAAATATCCACTTGAAGATTCTACAAAAGGAGTGTTTCAAAACTGCTCTATCCGGAGGAATATTCAAATCTGTGAGTAGAATGCAAACATCACAAACGAGTTTCTGAGAATGCTTCTATTTTTTATATGAAGATATTTCCTTTTCTACCACAGGCCTCAAAGCCCTCTAAACACATATTTGCAAATTCTACAAAAAGACTGTTTCAAAACTGCTCTATCAAAAGAAAGTTTAAACTCTGTGCGTTGACCGCACACATCGCAAATTAGTTTCTGAGAATCATTCTGTCTAGTTTTTCTATGAAGATATTTCCTTTTCTACCTTAAGCCTCAAACCTCTCTAAATACACACTTGCAAATTCTACAAAAGGACTCTTTCAAAGCTGCTCTATCAAAAGAAAGTTTTAACTCTGTGAGTTGAATGCACACATCACAAAGTAGTCTCTGACAATCATTCGGTCTAGTTTTTCTATGAAGATATTTTCTTTTCTACCATAGGCCTCAAACCGATCTAAATATCCACCTGGAAATTCTACAAAAAGAGGATTTCAAAACTGCTCTGTCAAAAGGAAGGTTCAACTCTGTGAGTTCGAGGCACACATCACAAAGAAGTTTCTGGGAATTCTTATGTCTAGTTTTATAAGAAGAAATCCCGTTTCCAATGAAGGCCTCAAAGAGGTCCAAATATCCACTTACAGATTGTAAAAAAAGATTGTTTCAAAACGGCTCTATCAGGAGGAATGTTCAACTCTGTGAGTTGAATGCAAACATCACAAAGTAGTTTCTGAGAATGCTTCTGTCTAGTTTTTATGTGAAGATATTTCCTTTTCTACCCTAGGCTTCAAAGCACTCTAAATATACACTTGCAAATTCTACAAAAAGAATGTTTCAAAGCTGCTCTATCAAAAGAAAGTTTAAACTCTGTGAGTTGACCCCACCCATGACAAAGTAGTTTCTGAGAATGTTTCTGTGTAGTTTTTCTATGAACATATTTCCTTTTACATGATAGGCCCCAAAATGCTTTAAATATCCACTTGCAAATTCTAGAAAAACAGTGTTTCAAAACTGCTCCAGCAAAAGGAAGGTTCAACTCTGTGAGTTCAGTGCAGACATCACAAAGAATTTTCTGGGAATACTTCTGTCTACTTTTTATATGAAAATATTTCCGTTTCCAAATAAGACCACATAGTGCTCCAAATATCCACTTGCAGACTTTACAACAGAGTGTTTCAAAACTGCTCTATCAAAAGAAAGGTTAACCTATGTCAGTTGAAAGCACACATCACAAAGTAGTTTTGGAGAATGATTCTGTCTGGTTTTAATATGAAGATATTTCTTTTTCTACAATAGGCCTCAAAACGCTCTAAATATCCACTTGCAAATCCTATTAAAACAGTGTTTCAAAACAGCTCTATCAAAAGAAAAGTTTAACTCTGTGAGTTGAACACACACATCACAAAGTATTTTCTGAGAATCATTCTGTCTAGTTTTTCTGTGAATATATTTCCTTTTCTACTATAGGACTCAAAGTGCTCTAAATACTCACCTGGAACTTCTACAAAAAGAGTGTTTTGAAACTGCTCTATCAAAGTTCAACTCTGTGAGTTCAATGCACACATCACATAGAAGTTTCTGAGAATTCTTCTGTATAGTTTTATATGAAGAATTCCCGTTTCCAACGAAGACCTCAAAGAGGTCCAAATATCCACTTACAGATTCTATTAATGATCGTTTCAAAACTACTCTATAATGAGGAATGTTCAGCTCTGTGAGTTGAATGCAAACATCACTAAGTACTTTCTGAGAATGCTTCTGTCTAGTTTCTATATGAAGATATTTCCTTTTCTACAGTAGACATCAAAGTGCTGTAAATATACACTTGCAAATTCTACCAAAAGAGCGTTTCAAAACTACTCTATCAAAAGAAAGTTTAAACTCTGTGAATTGAATGAACACATCACAAAAATGTTACTGAGAATTCTTCTAATTTTATATGAAGAAATCCCGTTTCCAATGAAGGCCTTAAAGAGGTCCAAATATCCACTTCCAGATTCTACACAAAGAGAATTTCAAAACCGCTCTATCTGGAGGAATATTCAAATCTGTGAGTAGAATGCAAACATCATAAACAAGTTTTTGAGAATTCTTCTGTCTATTTTTTATATGAAGATATTTCCTTTTCTACCACAGGCCTTAAAGCCCTCTAAATACACACATGCAAATTCTACAAAAAGACTGATATACAAAACAGATCTATCAAAAGTTTAAACTCTGTGCGTTGACCTCACACATCGCAAATTAGTCTCTGAGAATCATTTTGTCTAGTTTTTCTATGAAGATATTTCCTTTTCTACTTTAGGCATCAAACCGCTCTAAATACACACGTGCAAATTCTACAAAAGGACGGTTTCAAAGCTGCTCTATCAAAAGAAAGTTTAAACTGTGAGTTGAACGCACACATCACAAAGTAGTCTCTAAGAATCGTTCGGTCTAGTTTTTCTACGAGGATATAGCCTTTTCTACCGTAGGCCTCAAACAGATCTAAATATCCACTTGGAAATTCTACAAAAAGAGGGTTTCAAAACTGCTCTATCAAAAGGTTCAACTCTGTGAGTTCAAGGCACACATCACAAAGAAGTTTCTGAGAATTTTTCTGTCTAGTTTTATAAGACGAAACCCCGTTTCCAATGAAGGCCTCAAAGAGGTCCAAATATCCACTTACAGATTGTACAAAAAGATTGTTTCAAAACGACTCTCTCAAGAGGAATGTTCAACTCTGTGAGTTGAATGCAAACATCACAAAGTAGTTTCTGAAAATGCTTCTGTCTAGTTTTTATGTGAAGATATTTCCTTTTCTACCATTGGCCTCAAAGCACTCTAAATATAACCTTGCAAATTCTACAAAAAGAGTGTTTCAAACCTGTTCTATCAAAAAAAAGTTTAAACTCTGTGAGTTGAACCCACCCATCACAAAGTAGTTTCTGAGAATGTTTCCGTGTAGTTATGCTATGACCATATTTCCTTTTACATCATAGGCCCCAAAGCGTTGTAAATATCCACTTGAAAATTCTACAAAAACAGTGTTTCAAAACTGCTCTAGGAAAACGAACGTTCAACTCTGTGAGTTGACTGCAGACATCAAAAAGAAGTTTCTGGGAATATTTCTGTCTACTTTTTATGTGAAGATATTTCCGTTTCCAAAGAAGGCCACAAAGTGCTCCAAATATCCACTTGCAGACATTACAAACAGAGTGTTTCAAAACTGCTGTATCAAAAGAAATGTTAACCTCTGTCACTTGAACGCACACATCACAAAGTAGTTTCAGAGAATGATTCTGTCTAGTTTTTATATGAAGATATTTCCTTTTCTACCATAGGCCTCAAAGCGCTCTAAATATCCACTTGCAAATCCTACAAAAACAGTGTTTCAAAACTGCTCTATCAAACAAAAAGTTTAACTCTTTCAGTTGAACACACACATCACAAAGTAGTTTCTTATAATCATTCTGCCTAGTTTTTCTGTGAAGATATCTCCTTTTCTACCATAGGAGGCAAAGCGCTCTAAATATTCACTTGGAACTCCGACAAAAAGAGTGTTTCGAAACTGCTCTATCGAAGGGAAAGTTCAACTCTGAGTTCAATGCACACATCACATAGAAGTTTCTGAGAATTCTTCTGTCTAGTTTTATATGAAGTAATAAAGTTTTCAACGTAGGCCTCAAAGAGCTCCAAATATCCACTTGCAGATTCAACAAAAAGAGTGTTTCAAAACTGCTCTATCAAGAGGAATGTTCAACTCTGTGAGTTGAATGCAAACATCACAAAATAGTTTCTGAGCACGCTTCTGTCTAGTTTTTATGTGAAGATATTTCCTTTTCTTCCATAGGCCTGAAAGCACTCTAATATTCACTTGCAATTTCCACAAAAAGTGTGTTTCAAAACAGCTCTATCAAAAGAAAGCTTAAACTCTGTCAGTTGAATGCACACATCAAAAAGTAGTTTCTGAGAATCATTCTGTCTAGTTTTTGTCTGAAGATATTTCCTTTTCTACCGAAGGCCTCAAACCGATCTAAATATCCACTTGGAAATTCTACAAAAAGAGGGTTTCAAAACTGCTCTATCAAGAGGAATGTTCAACTCCCTGAGTTGAATGCAAACATCACAAAATAGTTTCTGGGAATGCTTCTGTCTAGTTTTTACATGAAGATATTTCCTTTTCTTCCTTAGGGCTCAAAGCACTCTAAATATACACTTGCAAGTCGTACAAAAAGTGTGTTCCAAACTGCTCTATCAAAAGAAATGTTAAACTCTGTGAGTTGAAAGCACACATCACAAAGTAGTTTCAGTGGGTTTCAAAACCGCTCTATCAAAAGAAAGGTTAAACTCTGTGAGCTGAACACACACATGACAAAGTAGTCTCTGGGATTGATTCTGTCTAGTTTTTATAAGAAGATACTTCCTTTTCTACCATGGGATTCAAAGCGCTCTTAATATCCACTTGGAAATTCTACAAAAAGAGTTCTTCACATCTGCTCTGTCAAAAGTAAGGTTCAACTCTGTGAGTTGAATGCACACATCACAAAGAAGTTTCTGAGAATTCTTCTGTCTAGTTTTATATGAAGAAATCCCGTTTCCTACAAATTCCTCAAAGAGGTCCAAATATCCACTTGCAGATTCTACAAAAAGAGTGTCTCAAAACTGCTCTGTCAAGAGGAATGCTCAACTCTGTGAGTTGAATGCAAACATCAGAAAGTAGTTTCTGAGAATGCTTCTGTCTAGATTTTATGTGAAGATACTTACTTTTCTATGAGAGGCCTCAAAGAGCTCTAAATACACACTTGGAAATTCTACAAAAAGAGTGTTTCAAAACTGCTCTATAAAAAGAAAGGGTAAACTCATTGAGTTGAATGCACACATCACAAAGTAGTTTCTCAGAATGATTCTGTCTAGTTTTTATATGAAGATATTTCCCTTTCTACCAAAGGCCTCAAAGCGCCCTAAATACCCACTTGGATATACTACAAAAACAGTGATGCAAAACTGCTCTATAAAAAGGAACTTTCACCTCCATGAGTTGAATGCACACGTCACAAAGAAGTTTCTGAGAAATCTTCTGTCTAGTTTTATATGAAGAATTCCCGTTACCAACGAAGGCCTCAAAGAGGTCCAAATATAAACTTGCAGACTCTACAAAAAGAGTGTTTCAAAACTGCTCTGTCAAGAGGAATGTTCAACTCTGTGAGTTGAATGTAAACATCACAAAGTAGTTTCTGAGTATGGTTCTGTCTAATTTTTATGTGAAGATATCTCCTTTTCTACAATAGGCCTCAAAGCGCTCAAAATATCCACTTGCAACCCCTACAAAAAGAGAGTTTCAAAACTGCTCTGTCAAAAGGAAGGTTCACCTCTGTGAGTTGAGTGCAGACATTACAAAGGAGTTTCTGAGAATATTTCTTTCTACTTTTTATGTGAAGATACTTCCGTTTCCAGAGAAAACGTCAAAGCGCTCCAAATATCCAGATGCAGACTTCACAAACAGAGAGTTTCAAATCTGCTCTACCAAAAGAAAGGTTAAACTCTTTGAGTTGAAGGCACACATCACAAAGTACTTTCTGGGATTGTTTCTGTCTAGTTTTTATATGAAGATACTTCCTTTTCTACCACAGGATAAAAAGCGCTCTAAATATCCACTTGGAAATACTACAAAAAGAGTGTTTCAAATCTGTTCTATCAAAAGTTAGGTTCAACTCTGTGAGTAGAATGCACATATCACAAAGAAGCTTCTGAGAATTCTTCTGTCTAGTTTTATATGAAGAAAACCCATTTCCAACGAATTCCTCAAAGAGTTCCAAATATCCAATACCAGATTCTACAAAAAGAGTGTTTCAAAACTGCTCTAGAAAAAGAAAGTGTAAACCCAGTGAGTTGAATGCACCCATCACAAGGTAGTTTCTGAGAATGATTCCGTCTAGTTTTTATATGAAGATATTTCCTTTTCTACCATTGGCCTCAAAGTGCCCCAAATATCCACTTGGATATTCTACAAAAAGAGTGTTGCAAAACTGCTCTATTGAAAGGAACGTTCACCTCTGTGAGTTGAATGCACACATCACAAAGAAAGAAGTTTCTTACAATTCTTCTGTCTAGTTTTATATGAAGAAATCCCGTTTCCAATGAATTCCTCAAAGAGGTCCAAATATCCACTTGCAGACTCTACAAAAAGAGTGTTTCAAAACTACTCTATCAAGAGGAATGTTCAGTTCTGTGAGTTGAATGCAAACATCACAAAGTAGTTTCTGAGAATGGTTCTGTCTACTTTTCCTGTGAAGATATCTCCTTTTCTACACTAGGCCTCAAAGTGCTCAAAATATCCACTTGCAAACACTACAAAAAGAGTGTTTCAAAACTGCTCTGTCATAAGGAAGCTTCACCTCTGTGAGTTGAGTGTATACATCACAAAGAAGTTTCTGAGAATATTTTGTTCTAGTTTTTATGTGAAGATATTCCCATTTCCAAAGAAAACCACAAATCGCCCCACGTATCCAGATGCAGACTTCACAAACAGAGTGTTTCAAAACTATTCTATCAAAAGAAAGGTTAAACTCTGTGAGTTGAAGGCACACATCACAAAGTAGCTTCTGGGAATGATTCTGTCTAGTTTTTATATGAAGATACCTCCTTTTCTACCGTAGGATTCAAAGCGCTCTAAATATCCACTTGGAAATTCTACAAAAAGAGTGTTTCAAATCTCCTCTATCAAAAGGAATGTTCAACTCCTTGAGCTGAATGCAGACATCACAAAGTAGTTCCTGAGAATGCTTCTGTCTAGATTTTATATGAAGATATTACCTTTTCTACCATTGGCCTCAAAGACCTCTAAATACACACTTGCAAATTATACAAAAAGAGTGTTTCAAAACTGCTCTATAAAAAGTAAGGGTAAACTCAGTGAGTTGAATGCACACATCACAAAGAACATTCTCAGAATGATTCTGTCTAGTTTTTATATGAAGATATTTCCTTTTCTACGATAGGCCCCAAATCGCCCTAAATATCCGATTGAATATTCTACAAAAACAGTGTTGCAAAAGTGCTCTATTGAAAGGAATGTTCACTTCTGTGAGTTGAATGCACACATCACAAAGACGTTTATTATAATTCTTCTGTCTGGTTTTATATGAAGAAATCCCGGTTCCAATGAATTCCTCAAATAGGTCCAAATATCGACTTGCAGATTCTACAAAAAGAGTGTTTCAAAACTGCTCTATCAAGAAGAATGCTGAACTCTGTGAGTTGAATGCAAATTTTACAAAGTAGTTTCTGATAATGCCTCTGCCTAGATTTTCTGTGAAGCTATTTCCTTTTCTACCATAGACCTCAAAGAGCTCTAAATACACACTTGCAAATTCTTCAAAAAGAGTGTTTCATAGCTGCATTATAAAAAGAAAGGGTAAAACCAGTGAGTTGAATGCACACATCCCAATGTAGTTTCTGAGAATGATTCTGTCTAGTTTTTATATGAAAATATTTCATTTTCTAAAATAGGCCTCAAAGCTTCATAAATATCCACTTGGATATTCTACAAAAAGACTGTTTCAAAACTGCTCTATTGAAAGAAACGTTCACTTCTGTGAGTTGAATGCACAAATAACAAAGAAGTTTCTTAGAATTCTTCTGTCAAGTTTTATATGAAGAAATCCCGTTTCAAACAAAAGCTGCAAAGAGGTCCAAATATCCACTTGCAGACTCTACAAAAAGAGTGTTTCAAAACTGCTCTATCAAGAGTAATGTTCAACTCTGAGAGCTGAATGCAAACATCACACAGTAGTTTCTCAGAATGGTTCTGTCTAGTTTTTATGGGGAGACATGTCCTTTTCTACCATAGGCCTCAAAGCACTCATAATATTCACTTGCAAATTCTACAGAAAGACTGTTTCAAAACCGGTCTGTGAAAAGGAAGGTTCACCTCTGTGAGTTGAGTGCAGACATCACAAATGAGTTTCTGAGAATACTTCTGTCCCCTTTTTATGTGAAGATGTTTCCTTTTACAAAGAAAACCTCAAAGCACTCCAAATATGCAGATGCAGAATGTGTAAACAGAGTGTTTCAAAAATGCTCTATCAAAAGAATGGTGAAACTTTGTGAGATGAACGCACACATCACAAAGTAGTTTCTGGGAATGATTCTGTCTACTTTTTATACGAAGATATTTCCTTTTCAATCATTGGCCTCAAAGCCTTTGAAATCTCCACTTAAAAATTCCGGAAAAAGAGAGTTTCCAATCTGCTCTCTCTAAAGGAAGGTTCAACTCTGTGAGTTGAATACACACACACAAAGAAGTTACTGAGAATTCTTCTGTCTAGCATTATAGGAAGAAATCTCTTTTCCAACGAAGGCTTCAAAGTGGTCCAAATATCCACTTGAAGATTTTACAAACATAGTATTTCCAAACTGCTCTATGAAAACAAAGGTTAAGCTCTGTGAGTTGAACGCACAAATCTCTAAGGAGTTTCTGAGAATGATTCTGTCTACTTTTTATATGAAGATATTTCCTTTTCTACCATTGGCCCCAAAGCGCTTGAAATCTCCAGCTGAAAATTCCACAAAAAGAGAGTTTCACATCTGCTCTGTCTAAAGGAAGGTTCAACTCTGTGAGTTGAATACACACAACACAAAGAAGTTACAGAGAATTCTTCTATCTACCATTATATGCAGAAATACGGTTTCCAAAAAGGCCTCAAAGAGGTCCAAATATCCACTTGAAGATTCTGCAAAAAGAGTATATCAAAACCACTCTATCAAAAGGAATGTTGAACTCTGTGAGTTGAATACAAATACCACAACTTAGTTTTTGAGAATGCTTGTGTTTAATTTTTATCGTAAGATAATTAATTTTCTACCATAGGCCTCAAAGCCCTTTAATCCACCCTTGCAAATTCTAAAAACAGAGTGTTTCATAATTGCTCTATGGAAAGAAAGGTGGAACTCTGTGAGTTGAACGCACAGATCACAACGTGGTTTCTGCGAATGATTCTGTCTAGTTTTTACATAAAGATATTTTCTTGTCTACCGTAGGCTTCAAAGCACTCTAAGTATGCACATGGAAGTTCCACAAAAAGAGTGTTTGAAAACTGCTCTTTCGAAAGAAAGGTTCAACTCTGTGAGTAGAATGCACATCAAAAAGAAGATTCTCAGAATTCTTCTGCCTAGGTTTATATGAAGAAATCCCGTTTCCAACGTAGGCCTTAAAGCCGTAAAAATATCCACTTGAAGACTTTACAAACAGAGGGTTTCCAAACTGCTCTATGAAAAGAACTGTTAAAATCTGTGAGTTGAATGCACACATAACAAAGTAGTTTCTGAGAATGATTTCGTCTAGTTTTTATACGAAGATATTGCCTTTTCTCCCATTGGCCTGAAAGCGCTTGAACTCTCCACCTGAAAATTCCACAAAAAGTGTTTCCAATCTGCTCTTTCTAAAGGAAGTTTCAACTCTGTGGTTGAATACACACACACAAAAAAGTTACTGAGAATTCTTCTGTCTAGCATTATATAAAGAAATCCCGTTTCCAATGAAGGCCTCAGAGAGGTCCGAATATCCAGTTGCAGAATTTACAGAGTGTTTCCAAACTGCACTATGAAAAGAAAGCTTAAACTCTGTGAGTTGAATGCACACATCACAAAGCAGATTCTGAGAATCATTCAGTCTACTTTTTCTACGAAGATATATCTTTTCTACCATTGGCCTCAAAGCGCTTGAAATCTCCAACTGAACATTCCGCAAAAAGAGTGTTTCCAATCTGCTCTGAATAAAGGAAGGTGCAACTCTGTGAGTGGAATACACACAATACAAAGTAGTTACTGAGAATTCTTCTGTCTAGCATTATATGAAGAAATCCCGTTTCCAACAAAGGTCTCAAAGAGGTCTAAATATTCACTTGCAGACTTTACAAACAGAGTGTTTCCAAAATGCTCCATCACAAGAAAGGTTAAACTCTGTGAGTTGAAAGCACACATCACAAAGTAGTTTCTGAAAATGATTCTGTCTAGTTTATATACGAAGATATTTCCTTTTCCAATATTGGCCTCAAAGCCCTTGAAATCTCCACTTCCAAATTCCTCAAAAAAGTGTTTCAAATCTGCTCTGTCTAAAGGAAGATTCACCGCTGTGAGTTGAATACACACAACACGAAGAAGTTACTTAGAATTCTACTGTCCATCATTACACAAAGAAATCCCGTTTCCAACGAAGGCCTCAAAGAGGTCCAAATATCCACTTGCAGATTCTGCAAAAAGAGTGTTTCAAAACCGCTCTATTAAAAGGAATGTTGAACTCTGTGAGTTGAACGCAAACATCACAACTCAGTTTCTGAGAATGCTTCTGTCTAGTTTTTATGGTAAGATATTTCCTTTTCTACCGTAGGCTTCAATGCCCTCTAAATACACCCTTGCAAATTCTACAAAGAGAGTGTTTCATAACTGCTCTATAGAAAGAATGGTTGAACTCTGTGAGTTGAATGCACAGATCACAACGTGGTTTCTGCGAATGATTCTTTCTAGTTTTTACATGCAGATATTTCATTGTCTACCAAAGGCTTCAAAGCAATCAAAGTATGCACTTGGAAATTTTACAAAAAGAGTGTTAGAAAACTGCTCTTTCCAAAGTAAGGTTCAACTCTGTGAGTTGAATGCACACATAACAAACAAGAAGTTTCTGAGAATTCTTCTGTCCTGGTTTATATGAAGAAATCCCGTTTCCACCGAAGGCCTCAAAGACGTTCAAATATCCACTTCCAGACTTCACAAACAGAGTGCTTCCAAACTGCTCTATGAAAAGAAAGGTTAAACTCTGTGAGTTGAACACACATCACAAAGTAGTTTCTGAGAATGATACTGTCTAGTTTTTATACGAAGATATTTCCTTTTCTACCATTGACCTCAAATCGCTAGAATTCTCCACTTGCAAATTCCACAAAAAGAGTGTTTCCAATCTGCTCTGTCTAAAGGAAGGTTCAACTCTGTGAGTTGAGTACACACACACAAAGAAGCTACTGAGAATTCTTTTGTCAAGAATTATAAGAAATCCCGTTTCCAACGAAAGCCTCAAAGAGTTCCAAGTATACACTTGCACACTGTACAAACTAAGTCTTTCCAAACAGTTCTATGAAAAGAAATGTTCAACTCTGTGAGTTTAATACACACATCACAAAGCAGTTTCTGAGAATGATTCCGTCTAGTTTTTATACGAAGATAGCCTTTTCTACCATTGGCCTCAAAGCTCTTGAAATCTCCACCTGAAAATTCGGCAAAAAGAGGGTTTCCAATCTGCTCTGTCTAAAGGAAGGTTCAACTCTCTGAGTTGAATACATACATCCCAAAAGAAGTTACTGAGAATTCTTCTGTCTAGCATTATGTGAAGAAATCCCGTTTCCAACGAAAGCCTCAAAGAGGTCCAAATATCCAGTTGCAGAATTCACAAACTGACTGTTTCCAAACTCATCTATGAAAAGAAAGGTTAAACTCTGTGAGTTGAATGCACATATCACAAAGTAGTTCCTGAGAATGATTCTGTCTAGTTTTTATACGAAGATATTCCCTTTTCCACCAATGGCCTCAAAGTGCTTGAAATCTCCCCTTGCAAATTCCACAGACAAGTGTTTCAAATCTGCACTGTCTAAAGGAAGGTTCAACCCTGTGAGTTGAATACACACACACAGAAAAAAATTCACTGAGAATTCTATTGTCTATCATTACACGAAGAAATCCCGTTTACCACGAATGCCTCAAAGAGGTCCAAATATCCAGTTGCAGACAATACAAACTGAGTGTTTCCAAAGTGCTCTATGAAAAGAAGTGTTAAACACTGTGAGTTCAATGCACACATCACAAAGCAGTTTCTGAGAATGATTCCGTCTATTTTTTCTACGAAGATATTTCCTTTTCTACCGTTGGCCTCAAAGCACTTGAATTCTCCACTTGCAAATACCACAAAAAGAGAGTTTCAAATCTGCTGTTTCTAAAGGAAGGTTCAACTCTGAGAGTTGAATACACACCAGAAAAAGCAGTTACTGAGAAGTCTTCTGTCTAGCATTATATGAAGAAATCCCATTTCCAACGAAGACTTCAAAGAGGTCCAAATATCCACTTGAAGATTCTGCAAAAAGAGTGTTTCGAAACAACTGTATGAAAAGAAAGGTTAAACACTGTGAGTTGAACGCACACATTGCAAAGCAGTTTCTGAGAATGATTCCGTCTAATTATTATACAAAGGTATTTCCTTTTCTATCATTGGCCTCAAAGCGCTTGATACCTCCACCTGAAAATTCCACAAAAAGAGTGTTTCCAATCTACTCTGTCTAAAGGAACGTTCAACTCGGTGAGTTGAATACACACACACAGAAAGAATTCACTGAGAATTCTTCTGTCTGGCATTTACATGAAGAAATCCCGTTTCCAACGAAGGCCTCAAAGAGGTCCAAATATCCACTTGCAGATTCTGCAAATAGAGTGTTTCAAAACCGCTCTATTAAAAGGAATGTTGAACTCTGTGAGTTGAACGCAAACATCACAACTCAGTTTCTGAGAATGCTTCTGTCTAGTTTTTATGGTAAGATATTTCTTTTTCTACCGTAGGCTTCAACGCCCTCTAAATACACCCTTGCAAATTCTACAAAGAGAGTGTTTCATAACTGCTCTATAGGAAGAAAGGTTCAACTCTGTGAGTTGAATGCAGAGATCACAACGTGGTTTCTGTGAATGATTCTTTGTAGTTTTTACATGAAGATATTTCGTTGTCTACCGTAGGCTTCAAAGCACTCAAAGTATTCACTTGGAACTTTTACAAAAAGAGTGTTAGAAAACTGCTCTTTCCAAAGTAAGGTTCAACTCTGTGAGTTGAATGCACACATAACAAACAAGAAGTTTCTGAGAATTCTTCTGTCCTGGTTTATATAAAGAAATCCCGTTTCCAACGAAGGCCTCAAAGACGTTTAAATATCCACTTGCAGACTTCACAAACAGAGTGTTTCCAAACTGCTCTATGAAAAGAAAGGGTAAACACTGTGAGTTGAACGCACACATCACAAAGTAGTTTCTGAGAATGATACTGTCTAGTTTTTATACGAAGATATTTCCTTTTGTACCATTGGCCTCAAATCGCTAGAATTCTCCACTTGCAAATTCCACAAAAAGAGTGTTTCCAATCTGCTCTGTCTAAAGGAAGGTTCAACTCTGTGAGTTGAATACACACACACACAAAGAAGCTACTGAGAATTCTTTTGTCAAGAATTATAAGAAGAAATCCCATTTCCAACGAAGGTCTCAAAAAGTTCCAAATATCCACTTGCAGACTGTACAAACTAAGTCTTTCCAAACTGCTCTATGAAAAGAAATGTTCAGCTCTGTGAGTTTAATGCACACATCACAAAGCAGTTTCTGAGAATGATTCCGTCTAGTTTTTATACGAACATAGCCTTTTCTACCATTGGCCTCAAAGCTCTTGAAATCTCCACCTGAAAATTCTGCAAAAAGCGTGTTTCCAATCTGCTCTGTCTAAAGGAAGGTTCAACTCTCTGAGTTAAATACACACAACCCATAAGAAGTTACTGAGAATTCTTCTGTCTAGCATTATGTGAAGAAATCCCGTTTCCAACGAAAGCCTCAAAGAGGTCCAAATATCCAGTTGCAGAATTTACAAACTGACTGTTTCTAAACTCATCTATGAAAAGAAAGGTTAAACTGTGAGTTGAATGCACGTATCACAAAGTAGTTCCTGAGAATGATTCTGTCTAGTTTTTATACGAAGATATTTCCTTTTCCACCACTGCCCTCAAGGTGCTTGAAATCTCCCCTTGCAAATTCCACAAAAGTGTTTCAAATCTGCACTGTCTAAGGGAAGGTTCAACCCTGTGAGTTGAATACACACAAAAAAAAAAAATTCACTGAGAATACTACTGTCTATCATTACACGAAGAAATCCCGTTTACCACAAATGCATCAAAGAGGTCCAAATATCCAGTTGCAGACAATACAAACTGAGTGTTTCCAAAGTGCTCTATGAAAAGAAGTGTTAAACACTGTGAGTTCAATGCACACATCACAAAGCAGTTTCTGAGAATGATTCCATCTATTTTTTCTACGAAGATATTCCCTTTTCTACCGTTGGCCTCAAAGCACTTGAATTCTCCACTTGCAAATACCACAAAAAGAGAGTTTCAAATCTGCTCTGTCTAAAGGAAGGTTCAACTCTGTGAGTTGAATACAAACCAGAAAAAGCAGTTACTGAGAATTCTTCTGTCCAGCATTATATGAAGAAATCCCGTTTCCAACGAAGACTTCAAAGAAGTCCAAAAAAATATCCACTTGAAGATTCTGCAAAAAGAGTGTTTCGAAACAACTGTATGAAAAGAAAGTTAAACTCTGTGAGTTCAACGCACACATTGCAAAGCAGTTTCTGAGAATGATTCCGTCTAATTATTATACGAAGGTATTTCCTTTTCTATCATTGGCCTCAAAGCGCTTGATATCTCCACCTGAAAATTCCACAAAAAGAGTGTTTCCAATCTACTCTGTCTAAAGGAACGTTCAACTCGGTGAGTTGAATACACACACACAGAAAGAATTCACTGAGAATTCTTCTGTCTGGCATTTACATGAAGAAATCCCGTTTCCAACGAAGGCCTCAAAGAGGTCCAAATGTCCACTTGCAGATTCTGCAAATAGAGTGTTTCAAAACCGCTCTATTAAAAGGAATGTTGAACTCTGTGAGTTGAACGCAAACATCACAACTCAGTTTCTGAGAATGCTTCTGTCTAGTTTTTATGGTCAGATATTTCCTTTTCTATCGTAGGCTTCAGTGCCCTCTAAATACACCCTTGCAAATTCCAAAAAGAGAGTGTTTCATAACTGCTCTATAGAAAGAAAGGTTGAACTCTGTGAGTTGAGTGCACAGATCACAACGTGGTTTCTGCGAATGATTCTTTGTAGTTTTTACATGCAGATATTTCGTTGTCTACCGTAGGCTTCAAAGCACTCAAAGTATGCACTTGGAAGTTTTACAAAAAGAGTGTTAGAAAACTGCTCTTTCCAAAGTAAGGTTCAACTCTGTGAGTTGAATGCACACATAACAAAGAAGAAGTTTCTGAGAATTCTTCTGTCCTGGTTTATATGAAGAAATCCCGTTTCCAACGAAGGCCTCAAAGACGTTCAAATATCCACTTGCAGACTTCATAAACAGAGTGTTTCCAAACTGCTCTATGAAAAGAAAGGTTAAACTCTGAGTTGAACACACACATCACAAAATAGTTTCTGAGAATGATACTGTTTAGTTTTTATACGAAGATATTTCCTTTTCTACCATTGACCTCAAATCGTAGAATTCTCCACTTGCAAATTCCACCAAAAGGGTGTTTCCAATCTGCTCTGTCTAAAGGAAGGTTCAACTCTGTGAGTTGAATACACACACACAAAGAAGCTACTGAGAATTCTTTTGTCAAGAATTATAAGAAATCCCGTTTCCAACGAAGGCCTCAAAGAGTTCCAAATATCCACTTGCAGACTGTACAAACTAAGTCTTTCCAAACTGCTCTATGAAAAAGAAATGTTCAACTCTGTGAGTTTAATGCACACATCACAAAGCAGTTTCTGAGAATGATTCCGTCTAGTTTTTATACGAAGATAGCCTTTTCTACCATTGGCCTCAAAGCTCTTGAAATCTCCACCTGAAAATTCGGCAAAAAGAGGGTTTCCAATCTGCTCTGTCTAAAGGAAGGTTCAACTCTCTGAGTTGAATACACACAACCCATAAGAAGTTACTTAGAATTCTTCTGTCTAGAATTATGTGAAGAAATCCCGTTTCCAACGAAAGCCTCAAAGAGGTCCAAATATCCAGTTGCAGAATTACAAACTGAGTGTTTCCAAACTCCTCTATGAAAAGAAAGGTTAAACTCTGTGAGTTGAATGCACATATCACAAAGTAGTTCCTGAGAATGATTCTGTCTAGTTTTTATACGAACATATTTCCTTTTCCACCACTGGCCTCAAGGTGCTTGAAATCTCCCCTTGCAAATTCCACAAAAAGTGTTTCAAATCTGCACTGTCTAAAGGAAAGTTCAACCCTGTGAGTTGAATACACACACAAAAAAAAATTCACTGAGAATTCTACTGTCTATCATTACACGAAGAAATCCCGTTTACTGCGAATGCCTCAAAGAGGTACAAATATCCAGTTGCAAACCTTACAAACAGAGTGTTTCCAAAGTGCTCTATGAAAAGAAGTGTTAAACACTGTGAGTTGAATGCACACATCCCAAAGTAGTTTCTGAGAATGATACTGTCTAGTTTTTATACGAAGATATTCCCTTTTGTACCATTGGCCTCATACTGCTAGAATTTTCCACTTGCAAATTCCACAAAAAGAGTGTTTCCAATCTGCTCTGTCTAAAGGAAGGTTCAACTCTGTGAGTTGAGTACACACACACAAAGAAGCTACTGAGAATTCTTTTGTCAAGAATTATAAGAAGAAATCCCGTTTCCAAAGAAGGCCTCAAAGAGTTCCAAATATCCACTTGCACACTACACAAACTAAGTCTTTCCAAACTGCTCTAGGAAAAGAAATGTTCAACTCTGTGAGTTTAATACACACATCACAAAGCAGTTTCTGAGAATGATTCCGTCTAGTTTTTATACGAAGATAGCCTTTTCTACCATGGGCCTCAAGGCTCTTGAAATCTCCACCTGAAAATTCCGCAAAAAGCGTGTTTTCAATCTGCTCTGTCTAAAGGAAGGTTCAACTCTCTGAGTTGAATACATACATCCCAAAAGAAGTTACTGAGAATTCTTCTGTCTAGCATTATGTGAAGAAATCCCGTTTCCAACGAAAGCCTCACAGAGGTCCAAATATCCAGTTGCAGAATTTACAAACTGACTGTTTCCAAACTCATCTATGAAAAGAAAGGTTAAACTCTGTGAGTTGAATGCACATATCACAAAGTAGTTCCTGAGAATGATTCTGTCTAGTTTTTATACGAAGATATTTCCTTTTCCACCAATGGCCTCAAAGTGCTTGAAATCTCCCCTTGCAAATTCCACAGACAAGTGTTTCAAATCTGCACTGTCTAAAGGAAGGTTCAACCCTGTGAGTTGAATACACACACACAGAAAAAAATTCACTCAGAATTCTATTGTCTATCATTACACGAAGAAATCCCGTTTACTACGAAGGCCTCAAAGAGGTCCAAATATCCAGCTGCAGACATTACAAACTGAGTGTTTCCAAAGTGCTCTATGAAAAGAAGTGTTAAACACTGTGAGTTCAATGCACACATCCCAAAGCAGTTTCTGAGAATGATTCCGTCTATTTTTTCTACGAAGATATTTCCTTTTCTACCATTGACCTCAAAGCGCTTGAAATCTCCACTTGCAAATTCCACAAAAAGAGAGTTTCAAATCTGCTCTGTCTAAAGGAAAGTTGAACTCTGTGAGTTGAATACACACCACAAAAAGAAGTTACTGAGAATTCTTCTGTCTAGCATTATATGAAAAATCCCGTTTCCAACGAAGGCCACAAAGAGGTCCAAATATCCACTTGCAGATTCTGCAAAAAGAGTGTTTCCAAACTGCTCTATGAAAAGAAACGTTAAACTCTGTGAGTTGAATGCAAACATCACAAAGTAGTTTCTGAGAATGACTCCGTCTAGTTTTTATACGAAGATATTTCCTTTTCTACCATTCACTTCAAAGCGCTTGAAGTCTCCCCCTGAAAATTCCACAAAAAGTGTTTCCAATCTGCTCCGCCTAAAGGAAGCTTCAACTCTGTGAGTTGAATACCCACAACCCTAAGAAGTTACTGAGAATTCTTCTGTCTAGCATTATATGAAGAAATCCCGTTTCCAACGAAGGCCTCAAATACATCCAAATATCCAGTTGCTGACTTTACAAACTGAGTGTTTCCAAACTGCTCTATGAAAAGAAAGGTTAAACACTGTGAGTTGAACACACACGTACCAAAGTAGTTTCTGAGAATGATTCTGTCTAGTTTGCATACGAAGATATTTCCTTTTCTACCATTGGCCTCAAAGCTTTGAAATCTCCACTTGCAAATTCCACAAAAAGAGAGTTTCAACTCTGCTGTTTCTAAAGGAAAGTTCAACTCTGAGAGTTGAATACACACCAGAAAAAGCAGTTACTGAGAAGTCTTCTGTCTAGCATTATATGAAGAAATCCCATTTCCAACGAAGACTTCAAAGAGGTCCAAATATCCACTTGCAGATTCTGCAAAAAGAGTGTTTCGAAACAACTGTATGAAAAGAAAGGTTAAACACTGTGAGTTGAACGCACACATTGCAAAGCAGTTTCTGAGAATGATTCCGTCTAATTATTATACGAAGGTATTTCCTTTTCTATCATTGGCCTCAAAGCGCTTGATACCTCCACCTGAAAATTCCACAAAAAGAGTGTTTCCAATCTACTCTGTCTAAAGGAACGTTCAACTCTGTGAGTTGAATACACACACACAGAAAGAATTCACTGAGAATTCTTCTGTCTGGCATTACATGAAGAAATCCCGTTTCCAACGAAGGCCTCAAAGAGGTCCAAATATCCACTTGCAGATTCTGCAAAAAGAGTGTTTCAAAACCGCTCCATTAAAAGGAATGTTGAACTCTGTGAGTTGAATGCAAACATCACAACTCAGTTTCTGAGAATGCTTCTGAGTAGATTTTATGGTAAGATATTTCCTTTTCTACCGTAGGCTTCAATGCCCTCTAAATACACCCTTGCAAATTCTACAAAGAGACTGTTTCATAGCTGCTCTATAGGAAGAAAGGTTCAACTCTGTGAGTTGAATGCAGAGATCACAACGTGGTTTCTGCGAATGATTCTTTGTAGTTTTTACATGAAGATATTTCGTTGTCTACCATAGGCTTCAAAGCACTCAAAGTATTCACTTGGAAATTTTACAAAAACAGTGTTAGAAAACTGCTCTTTCCAAAGTAAGGTTCAACCTGTGAGTTGAATACACACACAACAAAAAAAATTCACTGAGAATTCTACTGTATATCATTACGCGAAGAAATCCCGTTTCCAGCGAAGGCCTCAAAGAGGTTCAAATATCCACTTGCAGACCTTCACAAACTGAGTGTTTCCAAAGTGCTCTATGAAAAGAAAGTGTTAAACACTGTGAGTTGAACGCACACATCCCAAAGTAGTTTCTGAGAATGATACTGTCTAGTTTTTATACGAAGATATTTCCTTTTGTACCATTGGCCTCATACTGCTAGAAATTTCCACTTGCAAATTCCACAAAAAGAGTGTTTCCAATCTGCTCTGTCTAAAGGAAGGTTCAACTCTGTGAGTTGAGTACACACACACAAAGAAGCTACTGAGAATTCTTTTGTCAAGAATTATAAGAAGAAATCCCGTTTCCAAAGAAGACCTCAAAGAGTTCCAAATATCCTCTTGCACACTACACAAACTAAGTCTTTCCAAACTGCTCTAGGAAAAGAAATGTTCAACTCTGTGAGTTTAATACACACATCACAAAGCAGTTTCTGAGAATGATTCCGTCTAGTTTTTATACGAAGATAGCCTTTTCTACCATTGGCCACAAGGCTCTTGAAATCTCCACCTGAAAATTCGGCAAAAAGAGGGTTTCCAATCTGCTCTGTCTAAAGGAAGGTTCAACTCTCTGAGTTGAATACACACAACCCATAAGAAGTTACTTAAAATTCTTCTGTCTAGAATTATGTGAAGAAATCCCGTTTCCAACGAAAGCCTCAAAGAGGTCCAAATATCCAGTTGCAGAATTACAAACTGAGTGTTTCCAAACTCCTCTATGAAAAGAAAGGTTAAACTCTGTGAGTTGAATGCACATATCACAAAGTAGTTCCTGAGAATGATTCTGTCTAGTTTTTATACGAACATATTTCCTTTTCCACCACTGGCCTCAAGGTGCTTGAAATCTCCCCTTGCAAATTCCACAAAAAGTGTTTCAAATCTGCACTGTCTAAAGGAAAGTTCAACCCTGTGAGTTGAATACACACACACAAAAAAAATTCACTGAGAATTCTACTGTCTATCATTACACGAAGAAATCCCGTTTACTGCGAAGGCCTCAAAGAGGTCCAAATATCCAGTTGCAAACCTTACAAACTGAGTGTTTCCAAAGTGCTCTATGAAAAGAAGTGTTAAACACTGTGAGTTGAACGCACACATCCCAAAGTAGTTTCTGAGAATGATACCGTCTAGTTTTTATACGAAGATATTTCCTTTTGTACCATTGGCCTCATACTGCTAGAAATTTCCACTTGCAAATTCCACAAAAAGAGTGTTTCAAATCTGCTCTGTCTAAAGGAAGGTTCAACTCTGTGAGTTGAATACACACCACAAAAAGAAGTTACTGAGAATTCTTCTGTCTAGCATTATATGAAAAATCCCGTTTCCAACGAAGGCCACAAAGAGGTCCAAATATCCACTTGCAGATTCTGCAAAAAGAGTGTTTCCAAACTGCTCTATGAAAAGAAACGTTAAACTCTGTGAGTTGAACGCAAACATCGCAAAGTAGTTTCTGAGAATGACTGCGTCTAGTTTTTATACGAAGATATTTCCTTTTCTACCATTCACTTCAAAGCGCTTGAAGTCTCCCCCTGAAAATTCCACAAAAAGTGTTTCCAATCTGCTCCGCCTAAAGGAAGCTTCAACTCTGTGAGTTGAATACCCACAACCCAAAGAAGTTACTGAGAATTCTTCTGTCTAGCATTATATGAAGAAATCCCGTTTCCAACGAAGGCCTCAAATACATCCAAATATCCAGTTGCTGACTTTACAAACTGAGTGTTTCCAAACTGCTCTATGAAAAGAAAGGTTAAACACTGTGAGTTGAACACACACGTACCAAAGTAGTTTCTGAGAATGATTCTGTCTAGTTTGCATACGAAGATATTTCCTTTTCTACCATTGGCCTCAAAGCTGTGAAATCTCCACTTGCAAATTCCACAAAAAGAGAGTC